>NC_000003.12:128857089-129008604 GCF_000001405.40 Homo sapiens
CTGCGCACACTGGTCCCTATCTAGTCTTGCCCAATTCTCGGGTCTTTGCCTGATTTAACTTCTTCCTTGTCTGCACCTATGTCCATGTCCACGTCCTCTCATGACACTTGTCCCCTTCTGTAAGTGCTGCCAACAGCAAATCGGCCTTTTTCCTGAGTCTCTGATCAGCCTCCTTCTTTGCCTCCTGATCACGGTTAACATACACCTTGGTGGCCACTTCTAAAAACTGAGTGGCATTCATGCCTGTGAAGCCCTCTAGCTTTTGCAGCTTCCCCTGATGTCCCCCTGGGCTTGTCCTACAAATGCTGTGTTCACCATGCACTGATCTTCAGTGGCCGCGGGGTCAAATGGGGGAGTATAAAACTGGAACACCTCGCTGGGTGCAGTTGCTCATGCCTGTAATCCCAGCACTTTGGGAGGCCGAGGCGGGCGGATCATGAGGTCAGGAGATTGAGACCATCCTGGCTAACACAGTGAAACCCTGTCTCTACTAAAAAATACAAAAAATTAGCCGGGCGTGATGGTGGGCACCTGTAGTCCCAGCTACTCGGGAGGCTGAGGCAGGAGAATGGCATGAACCTGGGAGGCGGAGCTTGCAGTGAGCCAAGATCGCACCACCACACTCCAGCCTGGGAAACAGAGCGAGACTCCGTCTTAAAAAAAAAAAAAAAAAAAAACCGGAGCACCTCACAGAGTCTCTCATAAAACTGGCTGGGGCTTTCATCAATTCCCTGAAGCACCTCTGAGATCTTTCCTATATTGACGGCCTTCTTTCTACCCTCCCTTAACCCTTGCAGCAGTGCTTCTTGGTACCTCTGTAGGTGCTGAAACTGGGTTGCATCATTTGGGTCCCAGTTAGGGTCTGCTTCTGGGAACTGGCCCCGAGCGTAAGCCTGAACATTAAGTGTGCCTTCTGGTGCACTGGCTTTTAACCAGTGGAGGGCTGCCTGGGTTACCCTCCGGCACTCCTCGGTGTTAAACAGTGTCAGTAGTTGCTGTTTGCAGTCTGGCCAAGTTGGACTGTGTGTCAGGAAGATGGACTGCATAGATCTGTGAGGGCTTGGGGCTTCTCCATGTAGGAGGGAGTATGGTGTTTCCAGTTTAGGAGATCGGTGGTTGAAAAAGGCTGGTAAATGAAAGTTCGTTCTCCTCCTTGGACTTGGCCCTGTTCATTATAATAAAGAGGTCCCCTTGTTTCCCTGAGAGGCATTTGCATAACCTGGGTGCAGCCAGACTGGAGGCAGCCTGCTTAATCATCCTGACTTTGCTCCTTGACCTCCTGGGATGAGAGCTCAGATTTCTCCCTCTGGGGTGTAGCCTGGGGCGTATCACCATCTGAGTCTGGCTGCTCAGGAGCCAGCCTTGGTAAAGGGGGGTATTGGAGTGTAGGGAGGAGGGGTCTCTATCTCCTCCAGTGGTTCCTGCAAAACCTGTGGCTTTCCCTTTGTCTCTGCAGCTGACAGTGAAGCTGAATTCTCTTTCACTTTTGGCTCAACTCAAGCTACGAGCGTTCTGCAATAAGCTGCTAGGCAGGGCTGCATTCAGACCATAAGGGAATTGGTCTGGATGCCCTGGCTGTTCTCTGACCCTAGTCACCACCCGATATACATGGCCAATTGTTTCTCTATCTATAGTCCTTTAGGCCAGCCATCCTACACTAAAAGAAGGCCATTCTATTTCACAGAGAGTTCTTAACCTCTGGGGGGTCAACTTGATTCCATAGTCCCTCTTATAACCTTTCTTAAAATTCTTTAACATACATTCTAACCGGGTAGGTTTTGACGACTTCCCTCCCATTTCCTCCTTTTTTGGCACAACACACTCTCACTTTCGCTTCAGACCAATTAGATCGTCTCCCTTGCGGGAGTCTTTCAGATGCTGCTTAGCTTTGGAGTGATCGTTAATCCCCCCACAATTACTAAATTGCGGGGCACCTTTCTGAGCCATATGTGGTAGCCCACGTAGGATGTTTGCCACTAGTCCCGGTCAGTCCCACACTTTGCTCGAAGCATACGGTCTATGCTAAGAGACCTGCAACCCCCACGTGTCACTCCCTGTGTTGGTTCCTTCCAGAACCATCTCTTTCACATGCACTCACACACCTCCCTGCTTCCAGTTTCCTTTCTCAACCAACTTAGCAAGCTACTCTCGCGTCCTGGTTTGGCTGGGGTGTAGGTTTCAACCGAAATAGTGAGCCACTCTCGCGTCCTAGGTCAGATTACTTGTACGCCCTAGGTGCCAGTTTCATCTGACTTTGCGAGCCACTCTTGTATCCTGGGTTGGACTACTTGGTGCACTCCCGGGAGTTGATCAGGTTCCCTTCCGCCCTTATGGGACAGGTCCTGCCTTGGGCCCCGAACCTTACTGTGGTCCTGAAGCATGCTGTTCCTGGAATCATCCTGTAGCCCCTTTAGGTTCTGTTGCGCTGTTGGGTAGGGGCACTGGATCACAGGAGAGCTGATCTCCCCTCTGGGTTGAAGTTCTCCTGATGGTCCCTGGGGTCACAGGCCTCCCCTGGCCTGGGGCTCCAGTTCCACAGGCAAAGGAGACAGTAAACCTGTCATCTCCGCTCCTGGCTGGCTTGCCAAAATGTTGTGGGAATCAGGAGACTGGAGAGACCAAAGGGTGAAATAGGAGGATTTTATTCAGGTGGCCACTGGCCCAGCGGATTAATATCCAGAGGCTGAGCAACGAACAAAGATCAGGCTTGACTTTTATTCAGGCGACTGAAGGGGAGTGGCTAGCCAGTGGTGCAAAACTTGCGGGGTGGGGAAAGCGAGCTTACAGAAGCAGAACAAAGGCAGTTAATCAAACTGTGACAGGTTTTGCAATTCAGGCATGTCTTGTGACCTTTGCCATCCTGCATAGATGGGAAAACATGAACTTATAAAATCCTTGCAAACTTGCAGAAATAGTTACAAAAATAGTTATAAGAGCAGAACAAAGAATGATGGCATGGGGAAAGAATTCCAGGGGGAGACTAAGAACTTGCTTTTCTCGTCCCTGCTCTTGGATCCCATTTCTTTGGGGCCCCTGCCTGGCCTTGCAGATAATGTTATCATAGCTCCAACTGGACTTGTTTTCCCTTTACTTGTTTTTCTCATATTTCCTGCTTCAGGACAGTGCAGCCAAGAGAGGCAGAGCCAGCCTGTGACTGTGCTGACCAAGAGCCAGGCTGGGGAGCCTTCTCTCCTGCTCTGGGCTTCTTTGCACACCCTTTGTTTGTTCAGCCTGTCTGTCCGCCATGGAACATCCACAAGACAGGACAAAATGCAGCCATAAATACAACGCAGGGGGGCCGGGCAGGAGGGAGGGGCGCTGGCTGTAAAAGGGTAGCACAACACTAGGCACTTGTGGTGGTGGCCATGTTCAGTGTCGTGACTGTGGGGGGCGGTTACACATGCCAACATGGGTGGCAAAATCGTCCTGGAGCTTTGCACACTGTTACCATTGCGGGAAACTGGGCAAAGGGTATAAGGGATCTCTGTATTATTTCCTGCAACTTATGTGAGTCTACAATTACCTTAACATTTTGCCATGCTGGATAAGAACATTTACTGACACAGAACCATGCTTCAGGAGATTGCTGAGTGAAAAGGCCAGATGACGAGTTTACAGCCAGCACTTCATAGACAGTGATGGGGCTGTCATAACCAAATGTGAGGTGAAATGAGAAGATGGCCATAGAGGAAGGGATGAGAAGTCTTGTTTACAGTCCAGGCTTGGGGAATACAGTAAATCTGAGGTTCCATCTATAGGTAGCAATACTTACACACATAAAAGTCATGAAACAGTATTTGCAGTGTGATTCCACTTTTGTTTAAAAATGTTATAAAATCACATGCTTCTAATTGTATATTATGCATACATTATATAGACACATAGAAAAGCTCTAAGCAGATGTATTTCAACATGTTTAAGAGTGATTCTGTCCTGAGGATGGGATACTAAGGGCTAAAGTTTCTCGCTGGTGCGTGTCTCTGTTTTACGGCAATCCTATGGTAAGCACCATCTGCGTGGGGTGCAGGAGGTGAAGGGGAGACCAGCTTGCACTCAGGAGGTCAATCTCAGCCTCCTGTCTGTGGTTCTGCCCTCCCGCATTCTGTGGCTCCACACTTCAGTGCCCCATTTCTGCTGTGGCCACCTCCTAGTTCAGGGGGCTTGTGCAGAGTCCCATGCTCCCTTATTGGCTCACAGACCTCAGGCCTCACCCCCCCCACCCACTCATTCTCTCTCTCTTCCCCCTCTCTCACACACACATCACCACCATCACACATGTGCTCACACACACACACCCTGCTGGACTCCCGGCTTTGCTGCTCTCTCCACTTGGCCCACACTGGGCTCTCTGTAAAATACACTCTGCTGACAACACTGTATACCCCTCTGAATCCTTACCAGAAGGGGGACCAGGAAGAAATTGAGGCACAGGGAGGTTGAGCTCCTTGCCCCCAGTCACACAGGTTGCAAGGAGTGGAGATAGGGCTGCAGGTTCCAAGCCCAGACTGCCTCCCACGACATCACAGCTGCCATTCTTCTCTCCTTGCTACTCTCTCCTCAAAGCACCAGCCAGGGGCCCGGCTTCCCTGGTCTTACTGGCCTTGCCAGTGCTGAGAGTGGACAGGTGCTCCCAGTTACCTGTGGCACCTCCACGGCAGAAATGAAGACGTGGAGGCAGAAGATCTTGGAGCCATTGTAGCCGACCACAAAGCCCTGCAGCTTCTGCCAGTGCACAGGGAAGATGCTGGCTTTGATGTTGAGGTTGCCTCCTCCCGAGAAGCAGAGCATGTCCTCACACTGGGTGTTCCAGGCCACACTGTTGGCGTTTGGTTCCTGGGGGACAGGGACAGTGGGGATCCTGTGAGAACCACCCTGGGCTTGGGCAGCGCTTGCACATTTCAGCCTAATACCCTTTTAATGACTGAATCCCACTAAATTGCTTACAGTGGGATGGAGGGAAAAGGAGGAAAGGGGACCAAAAAGAAATGAACAGAGGCAAGAGAAATGAACAGAGGCAAGCCCCTCCATGCACCTGCGTGTTGTTGGAATTTTTGAGTAAGCAGGCGTTACTTTTGAAAAATATTCCCCTGACAATTCCTCAAGGATCTAGAATTAGAAGTTCCATTTGACCCAGCCATCTCATTACTGGGTATATATCCAAAGGATTATAAATCATGCTGCTATAAAGACACACGCACATGCATGTTTACTGCAGCACTGTTCACAATGGCAGAGACTTGGAACCAACCCAAATGTCCATCAAGATAGACTGGATTAAGAATATGTGGCACATATACATCATGGAATGCTATGCAGCCATAAGAAAGGATGAGTTCATGTCCTTTGTAGGGACATGGATGAAGCTGGAAATCATCATTTTGAGCAAACTATCGCTAGGACAAAAAAACCAAACACTGCATGTTCTCACTATAGGTGGGAATTGAACAATGAGAACACTTGGACACAGATGGGGAACATCATACACCGGGGCCTGTCATGGAGTCGGGGGGGAGGGATAGCATTAGGAGATATACCTAATGTAAATGACAAGTTAATGGGTGCAGCACACCAACATGGCAGATGTATACATATGTAACAAACCTGCACGTTGTGCACATGTACCTTAGAACTTAAAGTATAATATAAAAAAAAAAGAAAAATATTCTCCTGCAATATGAGTCCCTATATAGAAAGTGGAGAATCAGACCAGGTGCAGTGGCTCACACCTGTAATCCTAGCACTTTGGGAAGCCAAGGCGGGTGGATCACCTGAGGTCAGGAGTTCGAGACCAGCCTGGCCAACATGGTGAAACCCTGTCTCTACTAAAAATACAAAAATTAGCCGGGCGTGGTGGCATGTGCCTGTAATCCCAGCTACTCGGGAGGCTGAGGCAGGAGAATGGCTTGAACCCGGGAGGCAGAGGCTGCAGTGAGCCAAGATCATGGTGGCATTGCCTGGGCAACAAGAGCGAAACTGTCTCAAAAAAAAGAAAAGAAAAAAAAAGAAGGTGGAGAATCAGCAAAGTGGGATTCCACTTCTATTACAGAAGGAATATACATCTCTGTAAACAGAAGATTTACAAGAATATGTTCCAAAGGATTAACAGCGTTAATGGGTGGGCGAAATTGTGTAATGAGAAAATCTTTTTTGTTTGCCTGAATTTGTTCTGTCATGAACATCTATCTATTGTTTGATAATAAGAGAAAGAACGGTAAGTTATTTGTAAGATTTGAAAAGAATATCTTGTTCTTTGCATTTACAGTCCACACATTGTGAAAATAGTCACCCTGGGAGGCACCCACTGCACCTCAGTTCCCTGCTCAGCCCTGGAGCCTCAGGGACCAGTAGATGCTCACAGCTTTCTGCCTAGAATGTTTTACAATGTCTGAATCTTTTATAAATGAGCGCAGATTGCTTCTATAATGAGAAAAAAATATATAGCTGTTTTATGTGTAGGGGGAGGGGCAGTGGAGAAGAGGAAAAGCCAGCAGGCAATGTCACAGCTGGGAATGCTGATGTCTCCTGGCAGGGCTGAGAATCACCTCCCCTAGCCTGCTATAGAGCCAGCAGTGGGGACGGGGGCACGCAGACACCCTTCCACATTTGTATGATTCTAGGCTCAGACACAGATTCACATTTGGGGCCAGCTACGCCCCCTATAGGTGGGAGGTGAGGCTGGGAAGAAGGGAGGTAACATTTCAGGCCCCATTTTGTGCCCAGCACTGAGCTAGGCACTGTGGTATCTTGTTCATTCCTGTAGCAATTCTGTGAGGGGCAATTACTAATTTCATTTTAGAGAAAAGAAATCAAGGCTCAGAGAGGCTCACTAACTTGCTTAAGATCACACAGGAAGGGATGCAGGCAGGACCCAAGCCTAGGTCAGCCTGAAGGGTGTGCCCTCTCTTTCCCCCGAACCATTCTACTCTCTCAGGGACATGAGTGAGTTGAGACTGACAGGGAGTCACCTCTGGGCTAGAGGTGGCCAGGTAACTCCTTTTTTTTTTTTTTTTTTTTTTAAGAGATGGAGTCTCGCTCTGTCGCCCAGGCTGGAGTACAGTGGCGCGATCTTGGCTCACTGCAAGCTCCACTTCCCGGGTTCATGCCATTCTCCTGCTCAGACTCCCAAGTAGCTGGGACCACAGGCACCTGCCACCACGCCCAGCAAATTTTTTGTATTTTTAGTAGAGACGGGGTTTCACTATGTTAGCCAGGATGGTCTCGATCTCCTGACCTCGCGATCCGCCCACCTCGGCCTCCCAAAATGCTGGGATTACAGGCATGAGCCACTGCGCCCGGCCGAGGTAACCCCTTCTAATTGACTGAGGCTGCTCCCCACTCCAGGCCCCTCCCCCCTATTGATTCTGCTGCGGAGAGCAAAGAGGAGCCTGGTAAGGGAACTGAATCTGCCAGTAACATCAGGAAACCCTGCAGTGGCCGAGGAAACCAGTTAGGAGGGGCTCCAGCTTTGAGGGGAACTCGATTCTGCCAAACCAGCCCTCCCCACCTCCAAAGCCCAAAAGAGACAAAGAATGGCACGAGCCCAGCAGAAAGCCAGCCAGGCCCGGGGCACAGAGCTGCCGGGCTGTCTTCTCTGGTGACACACTTTTTCAGCCCACAGGGCTGGATGACTCCACTAAACAACGCCTACAACCCCAAAGATCCAAGCACTTCGCATTCTGCTGGCTTTTCTAGGATTCTTGTGAATTAAACAGAAGGTCAGGCTTGCCCATCCCCTTCCCCCTTTCAGATGACAAAACTGATTCTGTTTCCTTCCCTCGCTGTAGGTGTGCATAGACAGAGGCAGGCCTGCAGCAGGTGAGACGCAGACTTCTGCAAAGGAAGTGCATCCATCGCCCCATTCACTGAGTGCTAACGTCACGCCCCCCTCAGAGTCATTGCCCCATTTCTTGTTCATGGAAAACGCTTAAGAAAGGCTCTGCTGGCTCATCTCATTGGCAAGAAAACCAAAGTTAAAGAGGCTGGTCCAGGCCCTGTGGCTTGTGCCTGCGTGGGAGGAGCAGGTTGTGGCCCAGGGCCTCTGGGACTCTATGCATGTGCTTGGCCCCTGCCCCTCACTGCTCCTCCCAGAGACCTGCCTGGGCCAGAGCAGAAGAGCCTCCTGCAGGGACTGGGAAGCTAGAGAGGGCCTCTAATCAAAGGACGATGTCCCTGGGCCCCCTCGGGGACTTCACCTGAAAAAGCAGCTCCTTGGTGTCGATGTCATACACCAGGCAAGTGTCATTTTCATCTACCACGGCCAGCTTCTTACGGGAGGCACTCATGTCCAAGCAGCGCACAGCTGTGGCCTGCTTCAGCAGGACGATAGCAAAGAGATTGTCCACGAAGATCTTCAGGATCTGGCAAAATTTCAGCGAAAACAGTGTCAGTCACCATGGCAACAAGATCCTGGCCCACTGCCAGGCCGTTGGACTCCCATGTGCTCTGCAAGAACAACTCCCACCACCTTCACCAGAAGCTCCGTGCAGGGAAAAGGACTCATCAAAAGAAAGAGGGGGTGGGGCGTTGGCTTATCCTTAGGAGGCCAGAAGCGAGGTTCATCAGAGGCTGCAGAAGTAATGACAGACCCGAGACAGGCCGAGCTCACTTCAGTGTCTGTTCGGACTGGGGATTTGTTGATGACATTACCCAGACTGCAGCGTTAGGAGATGCCACCTAGCAGAGATCTGAGTCACGAACTAACATAAGAAAAGGCTACTATGAACACTGACAAGACATGTGGTAGAAAATTATAATAATGATGACAGTGATGATGACAGCCATCATCTACTAATATCCCTGGTTTAAAAAAAAATTTTTTTAGAGATAAAGTCTTGCTATGTTGCCCAGGCTGACCACTGTGGCTATTCACAGGCTTAATCATATCACACTGCAGCCTCAAACTCCTGGGCTCAAGAAATCCTCCTGCCTCAGCCTCCTGAGTAGCTGGGACAACAGGTACCCACCAGCATGCCTGCTTTAATATCCCTGTTTGGGTATTTTTTTGAAACTGGATTTAACTCCCAACCTTGATATCTATTTTTGACAGCCCTGTGAAATGTAGTATTATCCTCATGTGAAACTGTAGCCTCGGAGAGGTAAAATGACCTGCCCAGGGTGACAAAGCCTGTGAGTAGCTAACTAAGAACATGACCTCAGGCCCACCTGACCCCAAAGTCCATGCTCCCATGGGAAGTGAGAGCTGCCTGAGAAAGAAGCAGCCCTTGGCTTTGTTCTTGACTTGACCCACCTCCCCTTGGCATTGTTCTTGACTTCACCCACCGCTCTCACACCCCGTGACTTCCATCCCCAGCAAAGACCTGACAAGCCTTAGCCATAAGCCATCTGCTGCACAGCTTGGCTCTCAGGCTAATGCAGCTACATTTTCAGTTTTTTGTTTTTTTTTTTTTTGAGACGGAGTCTCACTCTGTTGTCCAGGCTGGAGGACAGTGGCACGATCTCGGCTCACTGCAACCTCCACCTCCCAGGTTCAAGAGATTCTCCTGTCTCAGCCTCCCAAATAGCTGGGATTACAGGCGCCCGCCACCACGTCCAGCTAATTTTTGTATTTTTAGTAGAGACAGGGTTTCGCCATGTTGGCCAGGCTGGTCTCGAACTCCTGACCTCAAGTGATCCACCTGGCTCGGCCTCCCAAAGTGCTGGGGTTACAGATATGAGCCACTGCGACTGGCTCATTTTCACTTTCAAAGTTTCATGTAGCAGCCCACTTAGAACTTTTCTTATGTTGAGCAAAGAACATGTATGCACATGCATACATACACACACAGAAATCTGTTTAACATCCCACACCGAACTGGCCAAGGGGCCAATTTTTCTTATGACATCTATCAGTATCCTGAGGACCCAGCATTCTCTAGGACACATGCTGGAACGCACTGCCTTAGCCCACTCGCTGCCCTAATCAGGAGCTGACCTAGGTAACAATCTCTGCCTCCCTCTAGAAATCCACAGAAGCAGCATCTCTAACAAATCTTCCACCTTCTGATGACCTTAAGCCACTAATCAAGTCTACATGTAGCCAGAGGCTGTAGCTCAACTCTGCCAGAATGGGGGGGCCTGCTATGAGTGTGAGGGCCACTGCACCTTTGGCCTGACGCTGTCCTCAAAAAACAAAAACTTCTCTGAAGTCTCAGAGTTGGAAAGAGGGGGTGAAGCAACTTGCCTGAGGCCACACAGCTGCACTGAGAGGTTAAGTAACTTGCCAGAGGCAAAACAGCTGCACAAGAGGTTAAGTAACTTGCCTGGGTCACACAGTTACACAGAGGTTAAGTAACTTGCCTGAGGCCATGCAGCTGCACAGAGAAACTACACAACTTGCCTGATGTCACACAGCTTCATACAGTGGTTAAGCAACTTGTCTGAGGCCACACGTGGCACACAGAGGTTGAACTTACCTGAGGCCACACAGCTGCACAGAGAGCTTAAGTAACTTCCTTGAGGCCACACAGCTGCACAGAGAGGTTAAGTCACTTGCCAGAGGCAAAACAGCTGTACAGAGAGGTTAAATGGCTTGTCAGAGGCAAAGCAGCTGCACAGAGAGGTTAAGTCACTTGCCTGAGGCCACACAGCTGCACAGAGGGGTTGAGTAACTTGCCTGAAGCCACACAGCTGCACAGAGAATTTAAGTAACTCGACTGACGCTGCACACAGAGGTTAAGTAACTTGCCTGAGTTCACACAGCAGCACAGAGAGGTTAAGTAACTTGCCTGAGGTCACACAGCTGCACAGAGAGGTGGGGGCATCAGTGGAGCTCCAGAGTCAAGGCTACAGTGAGCAGTGACTGTGCCACTGCATTCCAGCTTGGGCAACAGTCAAGACCCTGTCTCAAAAAGAAAGCAAAAAATAATATAAAAAAGTCAAACATAGAGTTAATGTATGAGTCAGCAATTCTTCTCCTAGGTATATGCCAAAGAGAATGGAAAATAGATGTTCATACAAAAACTTGTACACCAAAACTTACAGCAGCATTATTCATAGTAGCCAATAAGAAACAAGCTAAATGTTTATCAATTGATAAATGGATCTGAAAATGTGCTATATCTATATAGTAGAATGTTATTTAGTCAAAAATGAATGAATCATGTTTGGGCATAGTAGCACATGCTTGTAATCCAAGCACTTTGGGAGGCCAAGGTGGGAGGATCCCTTGAGACCAGGATTTTGAGACTAGCCTATGCAACATAGCCAGACACTGTCTCTACAAAAATATAAAAATTAGGCAGGTGTAATGGCAAGCACCTGTACTCCCAGCTACTTAGGAGGCTGGGACAGGAGGATCGCTTGTGCCCAAGAGTTTGAGGCCGCAATGAGCTATGAGTGTGTCACTGCACTCCAGCCTGGGTGACAGACTGAGATCCTGTCTCTTAAAAAAAAAAGATAAATCATGCTGCAACACAGATGACTTTGAAAACATGCTAAATGAAAGAAGTCAGTCTAAAAAGACCCCATATTGTATTACTTCATTTTGATGAAATGTCTGGAATAGGCAAATCCATAGAAACAGAAAATAACTGTTGCCATGGGATGGGGAATTGGAGGAATGGGGAGTGACTGCCGATGGGAACTGGGTTTCTTTCTTTCTTTTTTTTTTTTTTTGAGACGGAGTTTCACTCGTTTCGCAGGCTGCAGTGCAATGGCACAATCTTGGCTCACCGCAATCTCTGCCTCCCAGGTTCAAGTGATTCTCCTGCCTCGGCCTCCCGACTAGCTGGGATTACAGGCATGTGCCACCAAGTCCGGCTAATTCTGTATTTTCAGTAGAGATGGGGTTTCACCATGTTAATCAGGCTGGTCTCGAACTCAAAATCTCAAGTCATCTGCCTGCCTCGGCCTCCCAAAGTGCTGGGATTACAAGCGTGAGCCACCGCGCCCGGCCGGAACTGGGTTTCTTTTTGGGGTGATGTAAATGTTCTGAAGTTAGATAGTGGTGATGGTTCCACAACTTCGTGAATATACAAAAAACCCTGAATTATACGCTTTTTTTGAGATGGGGTGTCACTCTGTCACTCAGGCTGCAGTGCAGTGGCACGATCACAGCTCACCACATCCTTGATCTCCTGGGCTCAGGTGTTTCTCCCACCTCAAGTCTCCTGAGTAGCTGGGACTACAGGTACACACCACCACACCTGGCTAATTTATGTATTTTTTTTTGTAGAGATGGAGTCTCACCATTTTGCCCAGTACTGGGATCTGAATTGTACACTTTAAGAGGGTGACTTTTATAGTATGTAAATGATATCTCAACTAAAAATTACATATGTGGCTTACATTATATTTTATCGGACAATATTGTTCCAGACTATGAACCCTGAAGCCAGGCACCAAGAGGTACCAAGATAAAGTCTCTACATAGTGATTCCACAGCAGAGGGCCTGGGCTCCAGTTCTACCCCATAGACCCCAGCCCACTTGTTCTTTCCCTGGCAGCTGAGGAGCTATGACGTGGGGCTTTCCCAGACTTGCTCTGACTTCTTAGAGATGGCAGAAGCATCACCGACCTTATTCCCCAGGACCAGGGCACTCTGATGCTGGCAGACAAGCCCTTCTTCCTGGTGCTGGAGGAAGATGGCACAACTGTAGAGACAGAAGAAGAGTCCTCCCTTCCAAGCTCTGGCAGGCAATACAGTGCTCCTGGTCCTCCAGAAGGGGCAGAAATGGGAGCCCCCATCAGAACAGGTGAGGTCCCACCTGTTGGGGGAGAAAAGTGGGACCCTGGGAGAAGTCTTCAAGGGGTGTAACCATCTGCTTGTCTCAATGCAGGGGATGAGGCACCCACTGTCTGTCTCCCATAAGCCTGCCAAGAAGATGGATGTGGCCCGCATAACCTTTGACCTGAACAAGCTGAGCCCACAGGACTTCATCAGCTGCCTGAACGTGAAGGCGACTTTCTATGATGTGTACTCCATTTCCTATGATCTACACTGCATGAGGCTGAGTGCATGGTGAAGTGAGCAAATTGGGATTTGCTGGGGACACCTCCATGGCACCCTCCATCCCATCCTATCTCTTTCCTCATCTGGACTCATCTGATCTGAATTGGTCTTTGATTTGTCTGTGCACTTCCACTAGAGTGTCAGCTCCTGGAGGACAGGAGTCCCATTAGCCCTGCTCATCCTTGTATCACACCTAGTGACAGCCTGGTATGTCGAGGGTGCTCATTGCATGTTGGTTGAGTGAGTAGCCGATGGCACCAGGACAAGCAGCAAATCTTGAAGCTGAGGGGAATCCCAAATCCTATCTTCAGACAGAAGTCTGCTCCTTGTTCCTTTCTGGGATGGGTGAAATGCGGCCTGGGGAGGAGGTGGTGGGAGAGGGAAAAATGCCTCCGTGGATTCTGTTACACAGAAGCCAGTGGGTATACTATCTCCCACCAAAACAGGGGAGCAGCTCCAAGTATCCCTGGCAACAGCAGCCACATGACCTCAACCTCGCCAATCAGAAGAACCCAACCTACACAGCCACAGTGATTGGCTAACACCTGGGCATGTGACCAATCAGGTGGCAAGGGTCAGGACAAGGGTTGGTAGCAGGGGAGAGAAGGTCTATTTCTGTTGGGTGGCTGGGGCTGTGGGTGCCATCTTGTCACCTTGAAGGGAAAGCCCACCTGAGCACGACATCCACACTGAGGGAAGGACACAGAGTCAGAGGTTGGGAGAGAGTCCAGGTGACATTATTAAGCACCCACGTGCAGCCAAGGTACAGTTACCCCAGAACATTCTCACTGGGATCCAGGTGGCTGTGAAGGTCACCTAGAGAGGTCAGCAGAGCTCCTCCAGCCTCTGGAGTTGACAGCTGTGAAGTCGATATAATAAGGGCCCCGAATCACCCAACCTCAATCAGCTCCTTCCAGTGACTGCCATCGTGGGCACTCTACACTGAGTCATGTAGCATGCCAGCTGGGGCAGCTACTTCACTACATCCTAGAGCCCCACCAAAAGCAGGAGGAAGAGGCCTGAGGCAAGTTCCGGCAAATACTATCTGCCCTACAGTACCACCACCAAAAGAAACATTTCCACAGGAACCTGATGCCCCAGAATGTACTTGTATTTACAAGATGCCAACTACAACATAAAATATCTTTGTCTTTGGCACCAGATTTATGATAGGCTACAAGCTGGACACCTTCTGTGCAACTCCCTGTTATACTGCCCTATGGTGAATGGGTAGAGGTGGAATCTGGAGTAATTTTTTACACCACAATAAACAGAACCTTACCATTTGTCAGACCTTTGTGGAGCTGAAGAAACAAATACTGTGTGGCAAATATAAGATACAGTTGTTCCTTTCTTCAGAAGGAGAAGAGGCCAGGCGCGGTGTCTCACGCCTATAATCCCAGCACTTTGGGAGGCCGAGGTGGGCAGATCATGAGGTCAGGAGATCGACACTAGCCGAGACCACCCTAGGTAACATGGTGAAACCCCGTCTCTACTAAAAATACAAAAACAAAATTAGCCGGGCGTGGTGGCGGGCGCTTGTAGTCCCAGCTACTCGAGAAGCTGAGGCGGGAGAATGGTGTGAACCCGGAAGGCGGAGCTTGCAGTGAGCTGAGATCACACCACTGCACTCCAGCCTGGGCGACAGAGCGAGACTCCAAAAAAATAAATGTTAAAAAAAGGGAGAAGGACTCATCAACACATTGCTGCCTGCAAACCCAGGGAAAGACCACCTTACACCACATTATATGGCATCTGTAAATCAACATGGGCCAGCGGGAGACACCAAGGCCCTACCAGGAGCTGCTCTTTGATCACGAGGTTCACGCTGCATCTTTTCGGGAAGGTTAAAAAATAATAAATGACCACCAGGATCACAGAAGGAAAGAGCTCGTGATGTCCATGGAATTCACGCAGATCACATCCAGGAATCTTTGGAACAAAAAATTCACAACACCATGGCCTCATACAAAAATGCTGGGCTGCAGGAAACCTGAGGCAGAGAGCTCCATCATCACAGTGAAGTCCCCGCCTTCAGCAGATCCCACCAACAGCCACAGTGCTTCCCATCACCTGAAAAAAACTCATGTATCAAACTATTACACTTCTTCAGAATATTGGAAAATGGTGCATAGTTCATATGTTCTCATTTGTTTATCTTGTGTCCAAAGTGTCTTGTCATTCCAGGCCACTCTATTTCTTGTGTATTAATAAAAAGTTTGAGGTATAATAAGGCCTGCAGATCAGATGAGTAAAACTGAAGATAGTCACAGTTCCCAGAAGGAAGGCAGGGCCACACAGGAAGCAGCAGGGTCCGTCAGGAGGCAGAGGGAGGGGTACTCTGAGCAAGCACCTTTCCTGTGCTGCCTACAGGGAGAAGAGTGAGGGGCAATGAGCAAGCTTAGGAGAGGGCAGTTCCAATCATTCCAGTCCATAGGGGTCTGGTTCCTGTCACTGAGGTGATTAGGGCAGTAGGATAATGGTCCCAGTGTGACAGCCCACAGGGGAAGTGTCTGGGGTGCGGACACTGGATTGGTTGGTTTGTATTTGAAAAGTGGGTTGGGTACAGTGGCGCACAACTGTGATCCCATCACTTTGCGAGGCCAGGAGCTCAAGACCAGCCTGGGCAACATAGTGAGATCCCACCTCAACAAAAACTTGAAAATGAAAAAATTAGCCAGGCAGGATAGCACACACCTGTAGTCCCAGCTACTTGGGAGGCTGAGGCAGGAAGATCACTTAAACCCAGGATTCGAGGCTGCAGTAAGCTCTGATCACGCCACTGCACTCCAGCCTGAATGACAGGAGACCCTGTCTCTCTCTTGAAAAAGAAAAATAAAAAAGAAAAGTGTACCCTTCGGAGGAAGATTGCTCTGGGGAAGAAGGTGACGTGGGAGATAAGGGGCCAAGGCAAGGTGACTTGGCATATCATGAGGTTGTTCAGAACATGACGTCCCGCGTATACGTAGAGGGCAGGTGTTAAAGCTCCAAGTTCACAGAAGCTAGAAACTTGGCCAAGGCCAGGGCTCAGTACAGTGTCACCTCCTCAGAGAAGCCTTTTCTGCCTATGCCATCTACAGTGAGAGCCTCCCCTGTGCACATGTCGCTAGCCGTTCCCACTTCATCCCTTCATGACATTCGGGGCCTGTCCCCCTCAGCTCAGCATCCTTCTGGGCCTCCCACCTCACCCAGAGTAAAAGTCCTCAGAGCAGCCCCAAGGCCTGCAGGACCTGGGCCCCCTGACGTCCTAGGTCTCCTCTCCCACCACTGCCCTTCTCTCAGGCCACTCCAGCCCCATCTCTGCTGTCCTGGTTTCCCTGAGCCCTGCTTCGCTCTCTGCGGTGTTTCCCTCTGCCACCACACTGAGCAATACTCTGTTTGTCTCTCCTGCACAGTACCAGCAACAAGGAGCAGCTGGTTTTGTTTTTTTTTCTAAATTCCTGCTTTTGTCTACAGCCTAGATCATGGCTGAGCACATAATAGGGGTCAATAAATAGTAAAGGAGCAATTCTTCTCACCACCTGATACGTGTTTGTGCTCTCCAGTATCTACTCCTTCAGTGCACATTCACTGAGACCCCACTGCATGCTGGGCCTGTTCCAGAAACCAAGGCACACCAAGGGGAGAAGCAGGCAGAAGTCTCCATTCTGATGGGCTGACAGCCTAGTAGGAAAGAAAGAGAAAAAAATAAGGAAACAATACACAGGCAGGTGATGACATGTACCATGAAGGAAGACAAAGTCAGGACGTTTCTGAGAATGCCTGAAGGCATTTAGAGAACAACTAACGCAATGGGCAGAGTGTTCCAGATGGAGAGAATGCCAAGCGCAAAGGCCCTGGGGCCACGATGGACTCCATGTTTGAGTGTTTAGTCTGGATTCCTGGTTTTAAGTCTGTATTCAGCCTTTATTTCTAATCCTTCATGTTTCATCTTACCTAATTAACCCAAGTCCCAGTAATGCTGAGAGATGACACTGGCTTGACCCAATGTAGTATCAGAGGAGGGGCCTAAAAGTGGTCATTCTCAATATAACTAACTTGAAGGCAGAGAGCACTGGACTTGCTGCTCAATTGGATGTTGACTAGGAGAATAAGAGGGGACACAAGTGACCGCATATGTTCGGTCTGAACAAGTGGAATAAGAGTCGCCATTAACTAGATAAAGAACACTTGTGGGAAAACAGGACTGGGTGGGATGGGGAACTCAGATTTGCATATGCCACTTTTAGATGCCTATTAGATCTCTATATGGAGCTTTTGAGTACAAAGACAGATATAAAAACTAGAGTTGAGGGGAAAATCTGCGCTGCAAGAGAAATGTGAGCCATCAGGATATTGATGGTAGTTAAAGTCAGGACACTAAATTAGGTCATCCACGGGATGGTTGTAGAGGAAAAGAAATGTCCACATTCTGAGCCATAGACAACTCCAACTGTGCTAGTGAAAAACATGGCCAGTGTTTAGCAGTTGAGGAGCCAAGAAGGAACCAGCAATGGACACAGAAGTATCAGCCAGTGAAGTATTTAGAACATTCAGAGTATAGTGAGAATTGTGATTCAGAAACCAGAGAACAAAGTGTGTCAACAGGGTGGAAGGATGAACGGTGTCAGATGCCAAAGATGGGCCAAGTAGGATGAGGTCTGAGAACAGATCACATGATTTGACAACAGAGAGGTCACTACTGACTTCCATGGCCATTAGGGACAAACGCCTGAATGGTAAGGGCTCAAGATCCATTAGAGAGAACAGTTAATGATGCAGAGAAAGGAAATTACCCTTCAGTAAGTGAGAAGGTCTGGGGTCTAATGAGAGG
The DNA here is from genome assembly GCF_000001405.40 of Homo sapiens. Classification (NCBI taxonomy): domain Eukaryota; kingdom Metazoa; phylum Chordata; class Mammalia; order Primates; family Hominidae; genus Homo; species Homo sapiens. The sequence goes on from NC_000003.12 coordinate 128,874,852, forward strand.
TTGGTTTTGCCAGGAGCAGACAGTTCATAGTAACAGAATGTAGATAATGTGGGCACATATGCAGGGGGAGGGGGTAACTGTGCCTGTGAAGTTCTCATCTGACTGCATGGATTTTCCCAGTGGAATGGGAAGCAAAGCTGACAGCTGAGAGAAAGGGCAGGGCAGGACAGGTGGTGCCAGAGGTTTAAAGATGGAAACAGATCTGAAAGATTTGTGTTCTTTCTTCGCCATGCTGCTGGGAGGCAGGAGATCCCAGGATAGAGCACCACACTGCCCCAGGTCCTGGGTAAAAGGGTTTCCCATATGTTAAAGACATAGCTCTGCATTTCCTAGCAGGGCAAGCTGCTTTTAGTCTGAGTCTTAGCTTCTGCATCTGTAAAGTTGCTTGCTATAAAGGGATCAGCCTGACAACCTCAGAGGAATGTTCCAAAGAGAAGCCAGGGAATAACTTCTGTGATACAGGATCAGCCAACATTCAGCCAAGCTGAAAACAAGGCACCCCTAGGAAGGGGGAAACGCTACTGTGTTTACTCCTATTTTGTAGATGAGCACACTGAGGAACAGGGAGGAAAAGTGACTTGCTCAAGGTCACAAGATCTTCTTGAGCCTGCACTGTCCATGTCCTCTGCTGCACAGTACCTTCCAATCTCCATGCACTACATATCTCACTGGGCTCTACAACATCTTCAAGTGAGACAAATCACTAGCTCCATTTTAAAGCTGAATGAATTGAACCCAAGGCTAAGCCTTTCACCTCTAAGAGGATGGTGTGTTTAATAACCTAGCTGTTACTATTGGCTGGGTTGTGAGACCTGTGGAAGTCACCCTGCAGCTAGATTTCTGCGGAACCTCAAAGGCGGGGGTAGGGCTAGGGCTCAGCTGGCAAGGAAGCCCACAGGCCACTAGAGGGTGACATGGGAGCGGCATGGCCTGAGATGTTTAAGAATCAGAGAGGAAGCCTTGCACATTTTGGTGTCAAAACACCGGAGTCGAGGGTCACTCAGTAATCACTCACCTGGGTTTTCCCAAATTGTCCTGATACGAACGCTTGTCAAAACCGTTTCTGCCCAGGCACTCCCTTTCCTAGCCCCTGCCCCCAAATTAAGTTCTTCCCAAGGGAATGTAAGTGGAAGGAATCCGTGATTTCTGTCCGGTTTTTAAAAGATGGGATCGTTCTTCGCAGTCTCCTCTTCCCCCAGCTCTAGGCAGAGGCCTCTAGGCCCTTGGGGATGGTGGTGTAAGGTGGAAGGGGCAGGTCTTTGCAGCAGCATCTGCAGGAAAGCCTTTCTCCTACCTTTTGATGGTTTGGTGGTCTTTGGCTTGTAAAATAATCAGTCCAATCTCAGCCTCAGCTTTAATAGTAAGGGATCAAGCAGTAGTTTCTACTCAATGTTCCTCATACCCAGAGTCAAGGATTCTGCTATGCTAACACTAACATTATGGCTAAAGAATGTTCACTTTCTGTTAAGTTATGTTGTGAATCAGTTGTATTGATGTGAGGAGACATTCAGAACTACCATGAGGATATTTTAAACAGTTGTTAAATCAAGTTTAGCCTAAAGCTGCTTCCTTATATATTTTAAGTTCGGCTTATAGGTTTTCTGCACATTGTGAACTATAAGTGGAGGCATAAACAGACCGTAGCCTATACTTGTGCCAATCACAGAGTTTTTGCCAATCAAATGTAGCCAACTGTTCAAACCATGTTCAAATAAGGCAAGGCAGAGCTGTAACCAATCCAGCTGTTTCTGTACCTCACTTTCCTTTGCTGTCCATAAATCTTCCATTACATGGCTGTGCTGGAGTGTCTGAGCTTGCTCTGGCTCAGAAAGCTGCCTGATTTGAATCGATTGCTCAATTAAACTTTTTTTCTTTTGAGACAGAGTCTTGCTCTGTCGTCCAGGATGGAGTGCAGTGGTGCAATCTTGGCTCACTGCAACCTCCACCTCCCGGGTTCAAGTGATTCTCATGCCTCAGCCTACCGAGTGGCTGGGATTAGAGGCACTCACCACCATGCCCAGTAATTTTTGTATTTTTGGTAGAGACAGGGTTTCACAATGTTGGCCAGGCTGGTCTCGAACTCCTGACCTCAAGTGATCTGCCCACTTCATCCTCCCAAAGTGCTGGGATTACAGGTATGAGGCACTGCACCCGACCCGGCCAATTAAGCTCCTTTAAATTTAATTCAGCTGAAGTTTTTCTTTTAGTACACTGAACAGGGGAAACTGTTTAAAACAACATCATATTTCTCAGAGGCTAATACTTAAATATAAGATGGAAGGATCAAAGTGTAACTATTGTCATTTTTATCACTTGCTGTGCTAAGTGCTTTCATGTGGATTTACTTAAACCTTTTAAAAGTCCTGTGAGATAAAGGGTATCATACTCATATTTACAGATGAGGAAACTGAATTTAGAAACTAGTATAGTAGTGAAACAGCAAAACTCTTCTGCTATACTCTATTGGAGCAATTAGAAACTATGCCTTAACATTTTTCTAATTTTTGTTTTGTAAAATTCTGTGCCACTGGATTTCTCATTTGGTTGATTTAGGGAGACCTGTGTACACTAAACATTTGACACATTAACAGAGTACTTGACTGATTTGACTACATTTGTTTGGCAAAAAAGTACAGCAGCTCAAAATTGAAACAGTTTTTGCAACATATGTATATTTTTCTTTGTTTTACCTATGGGGATAATTTACAAAGGCAGTTGTTTCCAAATACCTTCTTGTGAAGCTGAATGCTAAGCAAGTAAATATCAACCACTGATGAAGAAACCAGGTGAGAGACCTTAGACAAGGTAAAATAATCTGAAAAGATGCCTGCAAATATTTTGCAGTTTAGACTCTACGCCTTGCAGAGTTTTGAGCTCTTTTTTCTTGATGTTGTGTTAGCAATGTAATCTTTTTTGGTGCTGAGCTTAGCTTGCTGAGATGAAAGGGATTTCTTTTTCTTCTCAAGGAGTTGACACAATGGAAGCTGGAGGCATTTCCCAACACTGTGGTCAATGCTACAGTCGGGGAACAAGCAAGTCTCCCCCAAAACAGGGATCGGAGTTTTTAAGGATAATTTGGCGAGTAGGAGCTCGGGAAGTGGGGAGTGCTGACTGGTTGGGTTGGAGATGGAATGATAGGGGGTTGAAGTGAGTTTTTCTTGCTGTCTTCTGTTCCTAGGTGGGATTGCAAAACTTGTTGAGCCAGATTACCGGTCTGGGTGAAAAAGCAGAGTGGCATTCTTCCTGGAGGAGCTGGCTGAAGATCTGTAGAGGGCCCATGTGCCACGTTCAGAGCACTGTTGGGCTGTGAGGTGCCAGGCATGCCCTGCCTCCTACGTGGGCCCCTATGGCCTGGCCTTGAAACCGCCACTGCAAAATTATAACCGAGACAATGAAAGAGATCTGACCTAACCAACTCCATCTTGCTTCTAACCTCCAAGCTGTCCTTGTTCATTCCTGAGCGTAGGCTGAACTAACCTTGGGAAGGAATGAGTTTATAGTTTAACTTCAAAACAAAAATAGCCCTTTCCCGGGAAAACAACAACAACAACAACAAAAAACAACCTCTTCTTGCCTGGGACCAGTTGGCCTTTGGAGGACTAACAAATTAGCTATAAGATTAGAAATTACAGTTTAGAGGCCATACAGCCTTTGGTTGCAAGAGTCTGAACGTCCCCCAAATTGTTCCTGGGAATAACATCACTGTTGTAAAACCTACCAACACCCAGACTGGTAATCTGGCTCAACTAGTTCTGCAATCCCATTCAGGAACAGAAGACAGCAAGAAAAACTCACTTCGGCCCCCTATCAGTCCATCTCCAACCCGACCAATCATGCACCTCCCACTTCCCGAGCTTCTACTCGCCAAATTATCCTTAAAAATTCCGATCCGTTTTTGGGGAGACCGATTTGGCTAATAAAACTCCCTTTCCAACACACCCGGCTCTGCGTGAATTACTCTCTCTCTATTGCAATTTCCGTCTTGATAAATCAGCTGTCTAGTCAGCGGGCTGTAACCTTGGGCGGTTACAGCCTGGCCTGTCCCATCCCATCCAATAGTTCCCATCTCTTCTCAGCTCTCTCTGTAGTTTCTCTTCCTCCGCCTGCCTTTTAAGTTAGTGTTTCCCAGGACAGAGGTGACTCAGTTGTATCCAGACCGCTCTGTGACTGAACACCCACTTTCTTTTCCTTTTCCAAAAAATATATGTAACATACATGTCAACTAGGAACAAAACAGTATCTCAGGAATCCACCATCCAGTTAAAAATGGACCCTTACCCTTACCGTGCCCCTGCAGAGACCCCAATACAGCGCATTTCCCTCATTCTTTTGCTTTTCTCAAGTTTTACCACGGCCTCGTGGCCACAAGTGACAAAAGAGACAAGTGGAGGCAGCTGAGCCGGCCTTTAGGTTTCTGTACACAGGGAGATTTCCCATGGCTGGCATTTATGGAAACAACCGCTGGTATGTGAAAAACAGGTCCGTCACCGCCGTCACGACGGCCAGAGATTATACCCGCCGAGATGCCCGCGGCCCAGGGCCTACAATTTCCTCCGGCCAGCTCCTTTGGCCGCGCAAGCGCAGTGGGGCCGGCGGGAAGCGTAGGCGTGTGACGTCATCAGGCGGCGCGGGCCAGCCAGGTGCACGTGACTAAGGCCTTGGGCGCGGCAGGTGGTAGCCTTCCCGCCCTTCTGGCCTCTCCATCCCCTGCTGCGGGGGACCGCGCAAGCGCAGTGAGTACTGCACGTTGTCGCGGGCCAGTAACGTCATCAGACGTGTGTGTGTCCCTGCGGCGCTAAGAAGGGGAGACTGAGGCTGAGGCTGGGGAACATCGGGCAGCATGAGCGGCTGCGGGCTCTTCCTGCGCACCACGGCTGCGGCTCGTGCCTGCCGGGGTCTGGTGGTCTCTACCGCGAACCGGCGGCTACTGCGCACCAGCCCGCCTGTACGAGCTTTCGCCAAAGAGCTTTTCCTAGGCAAAATCAAGAAGGTAACGCGAGCCCTGGGCGAACCCTTGCTGTCTGGCTCCCGCTTTTCACCCTCAGCTGCAAGACTGGTGTTGAACTTTGTGAGATTCCCCAAACCTGCCAGAGAGATACACCCTGCGGCCGAGGCGTGTTAACACTCCGGATTCCTGAGTTCCAGGAAAACCTTCCCAGAGAAAGGGTGAGACATTTCCAAGACGGGGGACCCTTGGAAATGTGGTGGTGACGTGTTCCAGCTAAATTTTGTCAGGGGAATTCGGAAAACTCTAGGCTAGGTAATTAACAAAGCAGCCTTCATCTCAGCTGGTCTGGTCTGGAAATGTGCGGGGCTTCCTCTCTGATTCCTAAACAGCTTACACCATGTCCCTCCTCAGTCACCTTCCAGCGCCCTGGGGCTTCCTTCCCCAGGTGAGCCCAGCGCCTCTCCCTGCCATTGAGGTTCCTCAGAAATCTGGCTCCAAGATGCTTCCCAAGGGTGGCACAACCCAGCCAATAGTAACAGTTTGGTTATAAAACACTCATTGTCTTCTTAGAGTTGGAAGACTTGGGTTTGGTCTTGGCTCGTTGACTTTGAAACTCAGTTGTTTTTTTTGAGACAGAGTCGCGCTCTTGTCGCCCAGGCTGGAGTGCTCACTGCAACCTCCCTCCTGGGTTCAAGCGATTCTCCTGCCTCAGCCTCCGGAGTAGCTGGGATTACAGGCGCCTGCCCGGCTTTTTTTTTTTTTGTATTTTTAGCAGAGACGGGGTTTCACCATGTTGGCCAAGCTGGTCTAGAACTGACCTCGGGTGATCCGCCCACCTCGGCCTCCCACAGTGCTGGGATTACAGGGGTGAGCCACCGCGCCCGGCCAAGACTCAGTTCTTTCAGCCTTAAAATGGAGATAGTGTTGTGTCTCCTTCACAGATGTGTTGTAGAGCCCCAGTGAGATAAACGGTGCATGGAGAGTCTTCTTAAACTGTAGAGTACTGTGCAGCAGAAGAGAGAGCTGGCTTCAACACTTAGTCTTGTGACCTTGGAGCTGACGGCTGCACCTCCCTGTGCCTCAGTGCATTCATCTACAAAATAGGAATAAACACATTTCTTGCTCTTTCCTTTGTATTTCATTTTATCTTCTAAGGAAACCAACAGTATACTTGCTATTTCGTCGAGGTGCCCTACTTTGAACTTGGCTGAATGTTGGCTGATCCTGTATCACAGAAGTTATTCCCTGGCTTCTCTTTGGAACGTTCCTCTGAGGTTGTCAGGCTGATACCTTTATAGCAAGCAACTTTACAGATGAAGAAGCTAAGACTCAGACTAAAAGCAGTTTGCCCAGCTAGAAAGTGCGGAGCTATGTCTTGAACATATTGGAAAACCTTTTACCCAGGACCTGGGGCAGTGTGGTGCTCTATCCTGGGACTTCCTGCTATCCAGCAGCATGGTGAAGAAAGAACACAGATCTTTCAGATCTGTTTCCATCTTTAAACCTCTGGCACTACCTGCCCTGCCCTGCCTTTACTCTCAGCTGTCAGCTTTGCTTCCCATTCCACTGGGAAAATCCATGCAGTCGGATGAGAAGTTCACAGGCACAGTTACCCCCTCCCGCTGCATATGTGCCGGTATTATCTACATTCTGTTACTGTGAACTGTCTGCTCCTGGCAAAACCAACCTCTCATTAGACTCCAGGTCTTCTCACCTACTCAAGGGTAATTCTTTCCTTTCTCTGCATCATTAACTGTTCTCTCTACTGGATCTTGAGCCCTTACCATTCAGGCATTTGTCCCTAATGGCCATAGAAGTCAGTAATGACCTCTCTGTTATCAAATTGTGTGATCTGTTCTCAGACCTCATCCTACTTGACCCATCATTGGCATCTGACACCGTTCATCCTTCCACCCTGTTGACGCACTTTCGTCTCTGGTTTCTGAATCACTGTTCTCGCCATTCTCTGAATGTTCTAAATACTTCACTGGCTGATACTTCTCTGTGTCCATTGCTGGTTCTTATTCAGCTCCTTGACCGCTAAACAGTGACCAGTGTTTCCAACTAGCCAAGTTGGAATTTACTAAGGCTGGGTCTCGTTTCATCTACAGCCATCTGCTGGGTGACCTTATTTAGTGTCCTGGCTTTAAATATCATCAATATCCTGATGCCTCAAGTTTCTTTCTTCAGTTCAGATTTCTCCCTGAACTCCAGATTCCTTTTGCTTTTTCAGAGTTGGGGGCTTTCTCTGTCACCTGTGCTGGAGTGCAGTGGTGCCATCATAGCTCACTGCAACCTTGAACTCCTAAGGCTCAATAGATCCTCCCACTTCAGCATCCCCAGTAGCTGGGACTACAGGCACGCCCTGCCACACCCAGCCAAGATTCTTTTTTTAATCTACCTTTGTACTCAAAAGCTGTACTAAGAGGTCTAACAGGCATTTGAGATTAATAGATCCCAAACTGAGTTCCTGGTTCCCACCCAATCCTGCTCCTTCCACCAGCCTTCTTTATCATAGATAATGGTGGCTCTGTTGTTCCACCTGTTCAAACAGAACACCTGGAGTCACCTTGTACTCTTATTCTCCTAGTCCACTTCTAATTCCACAGAAGATCTGGTTTTCTCTACTTTTAGGTTCTTAGAATCTGACCACTTTTAGGCCCTTCTGCTGCTACTTTGGATCAGGCCAGTGTCATCTCTCACAGCCTTACTGGGATTAGAGCAGAAACATGGGACATGATGCTTAGAATCTCAGATTGTGTAGGCCAGTGGTTGTCACCCTGCCCTAAGCTGGACCCAAGCTATTCATGGAGTGTCCTGGAACTGCTGCAGGGATGGGTGGGAAGTTGAGTGGGTGGGATTTGGGTGCCTGTTTTCCCTATCAGCAGTCTCAGTCAGAGCCGCCTGCTTCTGTCTGTTTTACATATTTGGTTTCTGCACTAGATTTCTTTGAATAACAGGTTCCACTTTTTTAGATAATTTACAAACTGTTTATTGCAATTGAACTCTCCTCCCCTAAGGCATTGACCTGATTTGATAACATCAGGATCTTTCTCCCACGCCCCTGCAATCTCTCCTGTGTGGCAGGTTTTCTGTGGTTGTACCTGAAGGCCAATTAGTTGCCAGGCAGTCTTATCTGGCCTGCCCACTGGTACCAGAATGATCTCTAACACAGCCCATTGCACAAGACCCAAGTGTCAGTGAGCCTCTGTGTTCAGTGAAGGAGACTGAGCTTTGATATAAAAGGCTGCAGAGTGATGGAGCCATCAGCTTGTTTTTTTTTTTTTTTCTTGTTTTTTTTTTCCTTGAGACAGTGTCTTACTCTGTTGCCCACCCTGGAGTGCAGTGGTGCAATCACAGCTCACTGCAGCCTCAACCTCCCCAGGCTCAGGGGATCCTCCCACCTCAGCCTCCTGAGTAGCTGGAACTACAGGCGTGTGCAACCACGCCCAGGCTGGTTTTGAACTCCTGGGCTTTAAGCAATCCCCCTGCGTCAGCTTCCCAAAGGACTAGGATTACAGGCAGTAGCCACTGCAACCAGCTAAGCTTGTTTTTTTCTTTTTCTTTTCTTTTTTTTTTATGGAGTCTCACTCTGTCACCTAGGCTGGAGTGCAATGGCGCAATCTCGGCTCACTGCAACCTCCACCTCCCGGGTTCAAGCAATTCTCCTGCCTCAGCCTCCTGAGTAGCTGGGATTACAGGCGCGTGCTACCAAGCCCGTGTAATTTTTGTATTTTTAGTAGAAACGGGGTTTCACCATGTTGGTCAGGCTGGTCTCAAACTCCTGACCTCGTGATCCGCCCGCCTCGGCCTCCCAAAGTGCTGGGATTACAGGCGTGAGCCACCGTGCCTGGCCTCCAACCTTTTTTTTTTTCTATACCACCTTCAGGGTGGTTTTGGAATGGATGGAGGCAGGGATTCCTTTAAGTTGGCTGTCACTTTTAGTTAGGGACTCACCTATAAGCCTGTGGTCCTGGGCCCAGAGAGGAGAAAGCAGTGCGAGCATATTGATAGAGTAGAGAAATCTGTTGGCTGATTAGCTGTACAAGGTCTGAGGAGAAGGTTGAGGTCTCCCCAAGACTTCTCTAGAACACTTGGTGAGAGGCGCCATGAGGACAGGTGATGCTTGGGCTTATAGCTCTGACTCAGGACATCACTGCTCAACAGCCTGAAGCCCACATCCAAAGCTCATGTCATGCTGGCAATTGAAGGGGTAGCAGAGCCCAAAAGTCCAGAGGGGCTCAGCACAGGGAGCAGATGTCTGTGAGCAGGAGAGACAGCGGCTGTAGGGATCGATGAGACTTGGTAAGCATGATGTGCTCTTGTCAGCATAGCATCTTTGAGCTCACACAATAATTGATGTAGAATTGTCCATTTCAGTAAGGAGTTTCCACATCCACTATCTTCCACGATTCTCACAAGGGCCTTGAGTAAATATTACCTGCATGTTATGGGTGAGAAAGGGGTAGTTTAGAGAGCTGAAGGGATTTGGTGAAGGCCACATAATGAGTAAGCCTGAAATCAAGGACCAGACCCCCAGGCTTCTAAATGTTAGTCTTGGGCTCCTTGTTTCATGGGACTATTATCATCCCTTGTACTGAGAAGGAAAACTGATGAAAATCGGGAAGAACCTATTTGAACAGGGGAGGGAGATGGATGTGGGTGGTGGAGCCTGCACATAGTTTCTGTATCTCAGGAACCTTGTGAGGTTTGCTTTCCAGTTCCTTCAGTACGTCATGTCCCGCTGGCCAGGGTGGAGTGGAGCACATGTTTTTCCTTCCCTTTTAACTGATATTTCCGTGATGGGAGTGTGCTAAAAATTAAATTTTTTAGAAAATATTTACTATTTTTAGAAAGAAGTTTTCCCATTTCCAGAAGTTAGCCAAGATGAACTTAATGAAATCAATCAGTTCTTGGGACCCGTGGAAAAATTCTTCACTGAAGAGGGTATGTATGGTTTTCTTTACCATTGCCGATTTCCATTGTAAGGGCTATTTGGTTGATATTTATATTAGAAGTGACATACATAGGAGAAGTCTTCTTGAGGGAGAAATGGTTTCCACTCATAATATTTTGCTTTAGGTTTCATCCCTATTGCCATTTAATTAAAAAACATCCAGTTAAATGCTTCTCATTGTATTTGTGGTTCAGGAGCACTTTAAACATTTCCATACTGTTCCAGGTCAACACTTCCATAAAGCTATAATAAAAATGAATAACTAAAAAAATTAGATGGCAAAAAGCCAAGGCCACACACCATACAAGCCCATGGAGCATGTGTTGGTTGTTGTGGCAGTGTACAGTTGCTCTTAGTGTTTCTAAAGGTTGAGTTTCAATTTCTGTACTTTGGTAATTGTAAACAAAGAGTGATTTGTGGACCAGCCACAGTTTGGCACCTGCATGGTGAGGCAGCATTTGACCTCAGGTCCCTCTCTCAGAGCTGTTGGCCGGTCCTCCAGCCAGGGCCTTGGTGGAGAGTTCAGTGATGGTGGATGGACAGCAGGTCTTCCCTAATAGTAGGATCCTGGAGAGCTTTTGTTTATATGAATTTTATCTATCAATATTTGCCATCTTAGGGGTTATTTTATTTTTATTTTACTTTATTTTTTTGAGAAAGGGCCTAGCTCTGTTGCTCAGACTGGAGTGTGGTGGTACCATCTCATCTCACCACCACCTCCATCTTTCAGGCTCAAACAGTCCCCCAACTTCAGCCTCCTGAGTTGCTGGAACTACAGGTGCGCACCCCCATGCCCAGCTAATTTTTTTGTATTTTTCATAGAGACAGGTTCTCACTATATTGCCCAGGCTGGTCTCTACTCCTAGGCTCAAGTGATCCTCCCACCTTGGCCTCCCAAAGGGCTGGGATTACAGGTGTGAGCCACCATGCCTAGCCCCTCTTAGAAATTAAAACTGAGAAATTTAAAATATACTGTGGGGCTGGGTGCAGTGGCTCACGCCTGTAATCCCAGCACTTTGGGAGGCCAACGGGGACAGATCACCTGAGGTCTGGAGTTCAAGACCAGCGTAGCCAACATGGTGAAACCCTGTCTCTACTAAAAATACAAAAATTGGCCGGGCATGGTGGCGGGTGCCTGTAATCCCGGCTATTCAGGAGGCTGAAGCAGGCGAATTGCTTGAACCCAGGAGGCAGAGATTGTAGTGAGCCAACATTGCACCACTGCACTCCAGCCTGGGTGACAGAGTGTGACTTTGTCTAAAAAAAAAAAATAAAATATACTGTGTTCATTTGTTTAAAAATAATAAATCCATTACATGTTAACATAATATTTTTAATGAAAAATATTTTGTTTTTGTTTTTCCGAGACAGAGTCTCACTCTGTCACCCAGGCTGGAGTGCAGTGGTGCAATCTCGACTCACTGCAACCTCTACCTCCCAGGTTCAAGTGATTCTCCTGCCTCAGCCTCCCAAGTATCTGGGACTGCAGGCATGCACCACCACGCCCGGGTAATTTTTGTATTTTTAGTAGAGATGGGGTTTCACTATGTTGGCCAGGTTGGTCTTGAACTCCTGACCTCATGATCTGCCTTCCTCAGCCTCCCCAAGTGCTGGGATTACAGGCGTGAGCCACCGCGCCAGCTAATGAAAAATATTTTGAAAAATAATCAGGCCAGGCGCGGTGGCTCACACCTGTAATCCCAGCACTTACGGAGACTGAGGTGGGTGGATCACCTGAGGTCGGGAGTTCGATACCAGCCTGACCAACATGGAGAAACCTCATCTCTACTAAAAATACAAAATTAGCTGGGCGTGGTGGTACATGCCTGTAATCCCAGCTACTCAGGAGGCTGAGGCAGGAGAATCGCTGGAACCTGGGAGGCGGAGGTTGCGGTGAGCCGAGATCGCGCCACTGCACTCCAGCATGGGCAATAAGAGTGAAACTCTGTCTCAAAAAGAAAAAAAAAAGAAAAGTAAGTTAAAAAAAAAAAAAGAAAAAAATTGATGGAAAGAGTGACATTGGTTGAAAGTTATGCAAGTCCTTTTAATGTTTGGCTTATTAGAAGACAGCTGGATTCTCATACCTGTTTGTGCACGTAACCTCTGGAAAAGTCCACTGTGCAGTCTTTTTTTTTTTTTAACTGTCTTTTTTTATAATCTTCAGACATGCTTTTTGTTTGTTTGTTTCTGAGACAGTCTTGCTCTTGCTTTGTCACCCAGGCTGGAGTGCAGTGGTACGACCTCAGCTCACTGCAACCTCTGCAGTTGAAGTGATTCTCATGCCTCAGCTTCCTGAGTAGCTGGAATTATAGCACGCACCGCCACGCCTGGCTAATTTTTGTATTTTCAGTAGAGATGGGGTTTCACCATGTTGGCCAGGCTGGTCTTGAACTCCTGACCTCAAATGATCTGCCTGTAATCCAAAGTGCTGGGATTACAGGTGTCAGCCACCGCACCTGTCCTGACACGTGCATTTAAAGCAAGAAACACACACTTCCAGGACATAGGGCTCTGTCAGCAATAACTGTCATCTTTGTATTTGCAGAGATGTAAATATATAAGAAACCGGCTGGGCACGGTGGCTCACACTGGTAATCTTAGCACTGTGGAAGACTGAGGGGGGCAGATTGCTTGAGTCCCAGAGTTTGAGACCAGCCTAGGCAATGGAGCGAAACCCTGTCTCTACTAAAAATTTAAAATATTAGCCGGGCATGGTGGTGCGCGCCCATAGTCCCAGCTACTTGGGAGTCTGAGGTGGGAGAAGGTACCCAAGCCTGGGAAGTCAAGGCTGTAGTCAGCTGTGTTCATGCCATTGAGCTCCAGCCTGGGCGACAGGAGTGAGACCCTGTCTCAAAAAAAAATAAAAATAAAAATAAAAAAATAAATAAATATATATATATATATATATATATGCAAGAAACCACTGCAAACCAAACCCACTCCCTCTCACAGGAACAAAGGTCTCTTGGAATAAATAGCAAATGCTGGAATAAAAACTATGTTCATTCAGCTGCCATGATGTGAATTCAAAAAGGAAGTTAAATCCAAGGGCAAAGCAGAGAAAAGAACATACAAAAATACACCTATTTCATGTACATTCAAAGAGGAGGCTAATCACTGTGGACAAAGGGCCCTCTGGAATGACAGCTGTAGGCAGCCAGCAGTGCCACGGAAATAGAGGCACTGTCATCTGGAGACACAGAAAAATCACATCCTCCCACAACTGGCCTCTATGAAAACCAACCAGGACAGACAACCCTTCCCCAAAAGTAATGGCCAAGAATAAAAGCACAAATATTGCTGGAAATCCAAGTAGCCTGTTTTACTGCTTTGAGTGACTTATATGCAAACCTAAGACTTTTTTCTGAATCCTTGATCAAGATTTATTCATATAAAGGCCGTACATAAATTCTGGGAACATGGTACTTTGGACTATATATTGGACTCTGAGCCAAAACGTTAAATACACTACACTGCGCCCCACTGTACAGTCTTCAGAGAATTAGAATTTAAAAGCAAGTAACATCTTAAGTAGTTTTAGGCCAGGTATGGTGGCTCATGCCTGCAATCCCAGCGCTTTGGGAGGCCGACGTGGGTGGATCACTTGAGGTCAGGAGTTTGAGACCAGCCTGGCCAACATAGTGAAACCCTGTCTCTACTAAAAATATAAAAATTAACCAGGTGTGTTGGTGCCCACCTGTAATCCCAGCTACTGGGGAGGCCGAGGCAGGAGAATCACTGGAACCCGGGAGGTGGAGGTTGTATTGAGCTGGGATGGCGCCACTGCACTTCAGCCTGGGTGACAGAGTGAGACTCCATCTCAAAAAAAAATAAAAACTAGTTTTGATCCTGTGGGACCCCCTAGAAGCAGCTCAGGTCCCCCAGAACCTCTTTGAGAAGTGCCAAATTGTCAGCTGTCATTACATTGCTTGGTTTTTGTTTGTTTCTTATTTCACACCTGGTGATCACAAATTATATGTTGCTAGTTTTAAAAGTTGCTTATTTATATATAAACATAATTTATAATTTAGAAATACTTATTTCTGCTTTTTTTCCTAGTGTTTATCTTCCTATTTGTATCTTTTTTTAGCTCCCATAGTCTCTTGTTCTTTTATTTAAACTTTTCCTATGTGGTTTGTCAGGTTTTTTTTTTTTTCAGGTTTAATTAAGGAATAATTGATTTACAATAAATTGCACACACTGTCATGTGACACATAATGACATTCAAGTCAATGACAGACCATATATACAGTGGTGATCCCATAAGATCATCATACCATATTTCTACTGTATCTTTTCTATGTTTAGCTGTGTTCATATACACAAATACTTACCATTGTGTTACAGTTGCCTACAGTGTTCAGCACAGTAATATGCTGTACAGCTTTTTTGTTTTGTTTTGTTTTCCTTAAAAAAAAAAAAACAAAAAATATTTAACAGTGAGATGGGGTTTCACTGTGTTGCCCAGGCTGGTTTCCAACTCCTGGGCTCAAGTGATCCTCCCGCCTCAGCCTTCCAAAGTGCTGGGATTATAGGCATGAGACACCACGCCCGGCCTACTGTACAGGTTTGCAGCCTAGGAGCAATAAGCCATACCATATAGCCTAGGTGTGTAGTAGGCTCTGCCACCTAGGTTGTGTAAGTCCATTCTGATGTTCATACAGGGAGAGAATCACCTGACGCATGACTGTATTTAGAGAGTACCCCTCAGGAGCCATCAGTGCAACAGAGGAAGTGAACGTACTCATTACCCGTCAAAGTTTCCTTGTGCCTCTTTTATTTCCCCCCTGTTTCCAGGCAACTGCTGATCTGTTTTCTCTCACTATAGATTAGTTCGTATTTTTTGGAATTATATTATGTGTGATTTTGTCTGGCTTCTTTCTGCATAATTTTGAATTTCATCCATGGTGCATGTATTGGTAGTGGCTTCCTTTTTAATGCTGAGTCATATTTCTTTCTATGGATATACCAAGATTTGTTTATCCATTCAAGTATTCATCAACATAGGGTATGTATCCAGATTTTAGCTATCACCAAAAAAGTTGCCATAAACATTCCTTTTTTCCTCTTTTTCTTTTTTTAAGAGACAGGGTCTTTCTTTGTTGCCTGGGCTGGAGTGCAGTGGTGTGATCATAGCTCACTGCAACCCTTGAACTTCTGGGCTCAAGCCATCCTCTGCCTCAGCCTCCCGCATAGCTAAGACTACAGGCACACGCTACCATGCCCAGCTAATAATTCTTAAAGTTTTTTGTAGAAATGGGTTCTCACTATGTTATTCAGGCTGGTCTCAGACTCCTGGGCTCAGGTGATCTTCCTACCTCAGCCTCTTAAAGTGTTGGGATTACAGGTATGAACCACTGCGCCTGGCCTGTATTTCCTTTTTTTTTGAGATGCCATCTCGACTCACTGCAACCTCCATCTCCCAGGTTCAAGCGATTCTGCCTCAGCCTCCCGAGTAGCTGAGATTATAGGTGCGTGCCACCACATCTGGCTAATTTTTGGTATTTTGAGTAGAGAAGGGGCTTCACCATGTTGGCCAGGCCAATCTCGAACTCCTGACCTCAGGTGATCTGCCCGACTCGGCCTCCCATAGTGCTCGGATTACAGGTGAGAGCCACCTCGCCCAGCCTGGCCTGTATTTTATTTTAGAAACTTTATAGTTTTGGCTGGGCGCAGTGGCTCATGCCTGTAATCCCAGCACTTTGGGCGGCCGAGATGGGCGGATCATGAGGTCAGGAGATCGACACCATCCTGGCTAACATGGTGAAACCCCGTCTCTACTAAAAATACAAAAAATTAGCCGGGCGTGGTGGCAGGTGCCTGTAGTCCCAGCTACTCGGGAGGCTGAGGCAGGAGAATGGCGTGAACCCGGGAGGCGGAGCTTGCAGTGAGCCAAGATCGCACCACTGCACTCCAGCCTGGGCGACAGAACAAGACTCCATCTCAAAAGAAACTGTATAGTTTTAATTCAGGTTTAGAACTATGATTCATTACAAGTTAATTTGCATTTCTTTATCAATTTTACAATTTTCAATGTCTGCAAAAAGGCCTACAATTCTTAAATGGTTGGTTTATCTTTTAGAGCAATTTTTTTTTTTTTTTTGAGACGAAGTCTCACTGTGTCACCCAGGCTGAAGTGCAGTGGCGCTATCTTGGCCCACTACAACCTCTGCCTCCCAGGTTCAAGCGATTCTCCTGCCTCAGCCTCCTGAGTAGCTGGGACTATAGGTGCGCATCACTATGCCCGGCTAATTTTTATATTTTTTTAGTAGAGACAGGGTTTCACTATATTGGCCAGGCTGGTCTCGAACTCCTGACCTTGTGATCCACCCGCCTCGGCCTAAAGTGCTGGGATTATAGGCTTGAGCCACCGTGCCCGGCCAGCAATTTTTAAAATAGGAAAAAAGGATCTTGTAGTTACCCATGTAGTTACTGATTCCAGGGCTCTTCATTCTCTCATGTAGAGTCAGATTCCCTTTTGCTACCATTGCTCTTCTGTGGGAAGGACTTCCTTTCACTTTTCATGATGTGCAGCTCTGCAGGGGATGCATATTCTCACTTTTGTATGTCTAGAAAAGTTTCAGCCAGGCATGGTGGCTCATGCCCGTAATGCCAGCATTTAGGGAAGCCGAGGCTGTCAGATCACCTGAGGTCAGGAGTTCGAGACCAGTCTGGCCAACAGGGTGAAACCCCGTCTCTACCAAAAATACAAAAATTAGCCAGATATGGTGGTGTGCACCTGTAATCCCAGCTACTTGGGAGGCTGAGGCAGGAGAACCACTTGAACCCGGCAGGCAGAGGTTGCAGTGAGCTGAGATCACATCACTGTACTCCAGCTTGGGCGACAGAGCGAGACTCCATCTCGAAAAGAAAAAGAAAAAGAAAAGTCTGTTTCATCAGAACAGGTTTCTGTGTTGACAGGATTTACCTTTCAGGCCATTAATTGTGTTGCTCTGCTCTCTTCCTGACTTCATATTGCTTCAGAAGAGATGTCTGCTTCCATTCTTTGTTCCTTTGTACATAGTGTTTTTTTCATCTCTGGCTGCTTTTCAGTGGTTTTTAGGAAAATTGATTATCACATTTATTTATGTAGTTTTTTGCACATTTATTTTGCTTGGAGTTGTTTGAACTTCTTGGCTCTGTGTGTTTATACTGTTTATTGAATTTGGATAAACAGTTGTACACCCATACAGTGAATACTGAACAACAAAAAGTAATGAAGTATTTATACACGCAACAACACGGGTGAATCTGTAAATCATGACCTGAGTTAAAGAAGCCCGGGAAAATAGGTGCCATATGGATTCATTTATATAAAACTTGAAGATGCAAACTGATCTACAGACAAAGATTTGTGGTTGCCTGGGGATGGTGGACAGATGGATCGATCACAAAGGGGCATAGAGACTTTTGGTGAAAAAGGAAATGTTTTTATCTCGATTGTCATGTTTTCACTGACAAATATGTCAGAACTCAACAAATTATATATTATAAATATGTGCAGGTTATTCTTCGCCAATTATGTATGTCAATAAAGTTGTTAAAGGATAAAAAATGAAGGGTTTGGCCTGCACTTTTGGGAATCTGTAGTTCTCTTAGTGACCCATGTATACAAAAATTCTTAAGTGTAGGTTATGGTGTTTTTAACAATTTATAATACTGATGAAGTTTAATTAGCAATTCAGAAGTACACTTTAATTAATTTGATGCATACAAAAGTGTGCAATTATAGGTCTAATGCTATGCTATTGATTGTTCAGTTTTGCTGTAGTGAATGTGAATTTTTATTTTAGAGATGAGATCTCACTCTGTCGCTCAGGCTGGAGTGCAGTGGTGCCATCAGAGCTTACTCAACCTCCCAGGTCAAGTGATCCTTCCACCTGAGCCTCCCAAGTAGCTGAGACTACAGGCTGAATGTGAATGTTGAATGAATGAATGAATTGGTGTTAAACAGGCTAAACTGTCTCAGAACTTGTGGATTGTGCTGAAAGCAGTATGGCCTCTGGCAGTGAAGTAAACCTTGGCCCAGATACTGCCATGAGGTGGCTATCTAGCTGAACATTTTAGTACAATTCTGAGACTTGCATATTTATTCTCTCATTTCCTAGAAAATACCGGCCAAAAAAAGTATGAGGTCTATAAGGAGGAGGAAAAACATGAAGTTTAACATGCCTATAGAAAAATTTACATCCCATGAATGTATATAATTTGCTGCTGTTTTACACAGCAAAAGCACCCCTGTGACTAGCACCCAGATCAAGAAATAGAACACCACCTAGCTCTGGCAGCTTTTAACAATTTTATTCTGGCCGGGCGTGGTGGCTCACACCTATGATCCCAGTACTTTGCGAGGCTGTGGTGGGAAGATTGCTTGCGTTCAGGAGTTCAAGACCAGCCTGGGTAACATAGCAAGACCTCGTCTCTACTGAAAAAAAAAAAAAAAATTAGCTGGGTGTGGTGGTATATACCTGTAGTCCCAGCTTCTCATGAAGCTGAGGCAGGAGGCTCACTTGAGCCTGGGAGATTAAGGTTACGTGAGCTATGATTGTGCCACTGCACTCCAGCCTGGATATCAGAGTGAGACCTTGTCTCTAAATAAATATATAAAAATAAAATTTTTCCTGGGCTCATTACATAAAATTGAACACAGGCCAAATGACCATGACTACAGAATTTCTAGTTTTGAAAAAGTTTCTACTCTGGGATTATATATGATTAATATATAAACACTGTCCTGTTTACTTATATTTGTAGAAACATAGCTTATATTTGTTTAATCAAGATTTTCCTCTTGGCAGTGGACTCCCGAAAAATTGACCAGGAAGGGAAAATCCCAGATGAAACTTTGGAGAAATTGAAGAGCCTAGGGCTTTTTGGGCTGCAAGTCCCAGAAGAATATGGTAAGTCAAGCAAACAAGCACCCAGCCAGTTTAGCTCTTAAGAAAGCACTCTGTATTTGTCCATAACAGGTCTAGTTGCTGGAATAGATGACACCATCCGTGGTGGGCTACTTGGTAGGGGTGGACTGACTGAAGGACCTGTAGGGAGGAAGTGTTCTCGGGTCCTGTGCTTCTCATCCTAGCACAGAGGAATGAGGCATGTGGTCTGGCTGGCTGTAGAGTGCAAGGCACATCGAGGTGGGAGATTGGACCAGTGGGAACCTTTGAGCAGGGTCCTTTGTCCTATGGACTGTCCCTGTAATTCTTTGAGCATCCTAGTGATGTTTTTAGCCCCCAAGTGGCGGTTCTGCCTTATTAGAGTTGGCCAGTCACTACAACTTGCCTCCCTTACGCTTTTTCTCGAGTTGGTCACCTGAATTCTGCAGAGGTTAAAGGGACAGGCAAGCAGTGTGTAGAAGGCAAGGTAGACCTTCAAGGTTCAAAGGGATAGACCACACACATGTGTGCCATTTGTGTTTACCCTCAGGCCCTTTTGATATAAAATTATAAAGGCCAAGGATGCTGCTAAGCATCTGACAATCCACAGGACAGACCCCCAAAACAGAAAACAATCCATTCCAAAATGTTACAGTGCCACAGTGGAAAAGCTCTGTCCTGGAGTCCTCTGGATACTGGGCAGTGGGTCACACTATAGTTGTTGCATTTATAAAGACCTACAGCTGTGATGGAAGATTCTCACTACATGTTAATTGATTCGATGTGTGTGTAGATATCTTCATATTTAAAGTATATATCTACATATGCTTGTATGCCTAGAAAAAGTGTGGATGGAAGGATATACACAGAAATGCGCTTTCTGAGGCACAAGATTGCGAGCTTTTTTTTTTTTTTTTTTTGAGACAGGGTCTCACTCTGTCATCCAGGCTGGAGTGCAGTGGTGTGGTCATAGCTCACTGTAGCCCTGAATTCCTCGGGCTCAAACAATCCTCCCACCTAAGCCTTCCAAGTAGCTGGGACTACAGGCGTGCGCCGCCATGCCTGGTGAATTTTTTTTATTTTGTAGAGCTGGGGTCCTGCTATGTTGCCCAGGCTAGTCTTGAATTCTTGGAACCAAGCAATCCTCCCACCTCAGCCTCCCAAAGCGCCGGGATTACAGGCGTGAGCCACTGTGCCCAGCCCTCGATTTTTGTTTACTTTGTACCTTTCTGTATTGTGATTTTTTTTTTTTTTTTTTTTTTGAGACAGAGTCTCTCTCTGTTGCCCAAGCTAGAGTGCAGTGGTGCGATCTTGGCTCACTGCAATCCCTGCCTCCCAAGTTCAAGTGATTCTCATGCCTCAGCCTCCTGAGTAGCTGGGACCACAGGCACACACCACCACACCTGGCTAATTTTTGTATTTTTAGTAGAGACGGGGTTTTGCCATGTTGGCCAGGCTGGTCTCGAACTGTTGACCTCAGGTGATCTGCCTGCCTCAGCCTCCCAAAGTACTGGGATTACAGGTGTGAGCCACCATGCCCGGCCTGTATTGTGATTTTTTTTTTTAATATGGTGATCTGGCATTACTTTATAATCAGAAGAAAAAAAAAAGCCAATGAAGCCTTAATGGGAGGAATCTAGGGCTGGGCTGTGATTGACGCTGGTCCATCTCTCCTAGGTGGCCTGGGCTTCTCCAACACCATGTACTCAAGACTAGGGGAGATCATCAGCATGGATGGGTCCATCACTGTGACCCTGGCAGCGCACCAGGCTATTGGCCTCAAGGTCAGGTATCTGGGGATTCTGTGTGGTGCTCTCTGTAGGTCTTCTGGAGTCACATGGAGGCATAGAGGCCAGAGGCTTGCTCCCTCTGAATTGGGCCTGATATCTGACCTTCAGCCCTGCCCTTCAGTTCCCTCACTCTGGCCACACCTCATGGTGCTCAATCCTCACACACTGCCCACATGCGCAGTGGCCTTTGGGTCGCATGTCCCTTCCTTCTGAATCCACCTCCTGTCCCCATTGCCTCTGATCCACCCTTCAAGGCCCAGGTAGGGTGCCACTGCCTTCGCCTTGGGCTGGAAGTGGTCTCTCCTGAGCCTTCGTCCTTCAGCCTGAGCATGCCCCCACTCTTTATGCAAGCCACCTTCTCCCCACTGGGCTTGGAGCACCTTAGGGCAGGCCCAGGGTCAACCGCCCTTACTGGCAATCTCATTACTCAGATTATTTCTGCTTAATGTTGACATCAAAGAGAGCTGAATGCACACCATGCTCGGCTCCCCCACCCCAGAGAGCGCACACATTCATGCAGATGTTTAGTGAAGAGGGGGACTGTCTTTGTGGCACTGGGAGGGCAGCAGGTGGGACAGCCCTGACACTGAGCACCTTCTTTAGGATAGGCTTGGTTCCAGCACTCCTGTGTCTTCACATTGCATCATCCAGACCCTGTCAGTGGGTGGGAGTGGCCCAGTTTGTGGATGACAAGATGGAGGAGGCTTTCTTTGGAAAGGGATATCCTTTGCCCAAGACCACTAGTCTGGGAAATGAAGGAACTGATATGAAAGTTTTGGACACAGACTGCAAAGCACTGTGGGTTGCACAGGCTCACGGCACTGGCATGTGCGCCCTGACCGTCTCCTCAGCAGCTTGGCTCCCTGGGCTCTGCCTGTGGCCGCTTGCTCTGAGTTCTTGCTGTCTTCTCTTGCCCGAAGTAAATATTTGCCTCAGAAAGGAAATGTTTCACAAACACCTCATGCTCTCCTTTCTCCCCACAGCTGACATTAGTCTGTGTCTGTTTTGTTTAGGGGATCATCTTGGCTGGCACTGAGGAGCAGAAAGCCAAATACTTGCCTAAACTGGCGTCCGGGGAGCACATTGCAGCCTTCTGCCTCACGGAGCCAGCCAGGTCTGTCTCTGCACAAAACGTTATCCCTCAGCAGCTGTGATGTTGCCCAAGATTCACTGGGGCAAGGGGCTGTTGGTTTTGTTGAGTAGCTGACTTTTCCTTCTTTCCAAAATCTTGCAAAGAATCAACTCAGCAACTGTTCTTGCCATTCCTCTTATCTTGACCTTATTTCTCTGTCCCAGTGAGACTTGCAAGTGAGATACCACGCTTGACAGCACTTATTAAATAAATTTTTGTGGTTTACAACACACCTTGACATACAATATAGTAATAACGTTCCGGCTTCAAAGCACCTTTCAGAATATATAGCGTGGGTGGTACTGCTCCCACTTACACATTAGGAGCTGAGGTTCAGTGAGGCT
Source organism: Homo sapiens (assembly GCF_000001405.40). Taxonomy (NCBI): domain Eukaryota; kingdom Metazoa; phylum Chordata; class Mammalia; order Primates; family Hominidae; genus Homo; species Homo sapiens. Next base: position 128,896,899 of record NC_000003.12, read on the forward strand.
GTGTGATCTGCTGGATGGAGCAGGGCTGCGGCAGCACTCGGGACTCTGATGATAAGTCCATCACCTGGACCATCCTCCATCCTGCTTCACTTTGCATGAGAACCTGGGAACAGTCATCCTTCCTGGGGTGCCCAGAACTCATCCTCACAGGACCTCAGATGAGCCCATTGCAAGCACCCATTTCCATGTTTAAACCTAAGCCCAAGTTGTTTTCACTGCCGCTTTTTTACGTGATGTATTGAAGCAGAGGTCGGCTAAATCCAGCCTCCTGCCTGTTTTTTATAAATAAGTTTTGTTTGTTTGTTTTTGAGACAGGGTCTTGCTGCGTCACCCAGGCTGGAGTGCAGTGGCTCAATCTCATCTCACTGCAACCTCCGCCTTCAAGCGATTCTTCTGCCTCAGCCTCCCGAGTAGCTGGGACTACAGGCATGCCCCACCACACCCAGCTAATTTTTGTATTTTTAGTAGAGACGGGGTTTCACCATGTTGGCCAGATCTCAATCTCTTGACCTCGTGAACCACCTGCCTCAGCCTCATGTTCTATTAATAGCAGCAGAGTTGAGGAGGTGAGACAGACATCCTGCAGCTTGGAAAGCTGAATATGTTATCTGACCCTTCATTTTAAAAGTTTGCTGACCTCTTACAAGTACTAAAACCTCCATTTTCAGGCCCTCAAAAGCATTCATATTTATTCCCAGTATTCTCCCTTGACCACATCTTTCTGCATCTGCAGTGGGAGCGATGCAGCCTCAATCCGGAGCAGAGCCACACTAAGTGAAGACAAGAAGCACTACATCCTCAATGGCTCCAAGGTAGGGTTCCTTCCCCATGGCCACATTAGGGTCTCAGTCACAACCTTCACTGCCACTGAGTGAGCACTCTCCACACACCAGGGATTGTACCTGCTGCTGTAGCACCGACTACCTTCTTGAGCTGCTTTTATGTGTTTGTTTTTAATTTTTTTTAGTTTTTTTTATTTGCGATGGAGTCTCTGTCACCCAGGCTGGAGTGCAGTGGTGTAATCTCAGCTCACTGAAACTTCTGCCTCCCAGGTTTCCAATGATTCTCCTGCCTTAGCCTCCTGGGTAGCTGGGATTAGAGGTGCGTGTCACCACTCCTGGCTAATTTTTGTATTTTCAGTAGAGATGGAGTTTCACCATGTTGTCCAGTCAGGTCTTGAACTCCTGACCTCAAGTGATCTGCCCACCTCGGCCTCCCAAAGTGCTGAGTTTACAGGCAATGAGCCACTGTGCCCGGCTTGTAAACCCAAAAAATCTTTAAATTTTTTGTTACACAAAGTTTCAGACATATTCTGTGTGCCTGGCTGGCCCTAACTCCGGCAGTCACCTGCTTATGGCCACTGTGCCTCTTCCAGCAGCATCGCCACCTCCAGATCGCATGGTAACAATCTCAGCATGCCTCTCTAAAAGACAGGAGTTTTTTTTGTTTGTTTTTGTTTTTTAATAAACACAAAGCCGTAATACCCTTATCACATTTTAAAAATTGATAATTTCTCTTTTCTTTTGAGACAGGGTCCCGCTCTGTCACCCAGGCTGGAGTGCAGTGGCACGATCTTGGCTCACTGCAGCCTCAACTTCCTGGGCTCAGGTGATTCTCCTACCTCAACCTCCCAAGCAGCTGGGAGTACAGGCACACAGCTAACTCTTTGTATTTTTTTTTTGGTAGAGATGGGTTTTCACCGTGTTGCCCAGGTTGGTCTCAAACTCCGGGGCTCAAGTGGTCTGCCCACCTCGGCCTCCCAAAGTGCTGGGATTACAGGCGTGAGCCACTGTGCCCAGCTAATAATTTCTTACTTCTATCAGCATTCAAATATCCCTGATTGCCTCATACCTTTTTTTGGTTTAACTGTTTGCTTGAATTAAGATCCACACAAGTCCCATCTGTTGCTGTTTGTTAAGGAGTCTGTTTCTGCCTCTGTCTCCCTCTGTTTCCTTTCCTCCTCCTCACCACCCTCCCGCCTTTTTTCATTTCTTTGTAGAATTAACAAATAAATGTTGTGTGTATTTACATCTACAACATGATGTTTTTATATATGTATACCTTAAGAAATGATTAAACCCTTTCTTTCTTGAAGAAATGCAGTTGTCTGGCGGTGGAGCCTGAGCTGTCTGACAACTTTGGGTGTTCTTTCCCCCGCCCCCGCCTCCACCTGGCCATCCATGTCCCTTGGGAAAATCCTTGCTCTGGGGAAAGTGGGCTGAGCCCTGTCCTCTATTCACTCATGCTTGGTTGGCTTCTGCAGAGCCAAGGACCCTGCATGTCTGGCCTGAGGTCTGACTGGCAGCTGGAGCTTGATGGACAAAGACAGAGCTGAGGTGGGTCACATAGGGGTTTGGTTTTCTCCAAAGTCCATCTTTCTGTCCTCAGGTCTGGATTACTAATGGAGGACTGGCCAATATTTTTACTGTGTTTGCAAAGACTGAGGTCGTTGATTCTGATGGATCAGTGAAAGACAAAATCACAGCATTCATAGTAGAAAGAGACTTTGGTGGAGTCACTAATGGGAAACCCGAAGATAAATTAGGCATTCGGGGCTCCAACAGTAAGTAGCTCCTGTGCGCGCGTGCGCGTGTGTGTGTGTAAGGGGGAGACTGGCCTTTGACGGTGTGTGTGTGTGTGTGTGTGTGTGTGTGTGTGTGTGTGTAAGGGGGAGACTGGCCCTTGACTCTGTCCAAATAGCAAGATAAAATGAGATTTAAACACTTTCAGTTTTTGTTAAGCATTTTAAAAAGATCAAATTAAGAATGCCACTTGGGCTTTGTCTTTGTTCCTGCAGCTGAGTGCTGCTCACTTGAAGGCCTGCTGGTCATCCCCTGCTGTAGCTGCCCTAGCAGACACACCACCTTAGAGCTCAGCTTACAGTCCCCAGCCTTTAGTTGTCTCAGTCTGCAGTGCCTGGCAGCCTGCTTCAGGCTGTGAGTTGGGTTCAGGTCCATCTGGGTTCAGGTCCATCTGGAGGCTTGTTCTTAGAGCAGATCATAAGCACCTAAGGGGCCAAGCCAAGCCATATAAGTACTATTTTTGCCGTGGGAGACATAGTCTCCCTCTGTCACCCAGCCTGGAATGCAGTGCTGTGATCTCAGCTCACTGCAACCTCTGCCTCCTGGGTTCGAGTGATTCTCCTGTCTCAGCCTCCCAAGTAATTGGGACTACAGGCGTGCACCACCACACCTGGCTAATTTTTGTATTTTTTGTAGAGATGGGGTTTCAACATGTTGCCCAGACTTGTCTTGAACTCCTGAGCTCAGGCAGTCTACCTGCCTCAGCCTCCCAAAGTGCTAGGATTACACGTGTGAGTTACCATACCTGGCCACTTTTTTTTGGTTTGTTTTTTTTGAGACGGAGTCTCGCTCTGTCGCCCAGGCTGGAGTGCAGTGGCACTATCTTGGCTCACTGCAAGCTCCGCCTCCCGGGTTCACGCCATTCTCCTGCCTCAGCCTCCCGAATAGCTGGGACTACAGCTGCCTGCCACCACGTCCGGCTAATTTTTTCTATTTTTTAGTGGAGATGGGGTTTCACCATGTTAGCCAGGATGGCCTCGATCTCCTGACCTCGTGATCCGCTCACCTCGGCCTCCCAAAGTGCGTGAGCCACCGCACCCGGCCTTTTTTTTTTTTTTTTTAAATAGAGATGAGGTCTTGCTATGTTGTCCTGGCTGGTCTCGAACTCCTGGGTTCAAGTGATCTTCCTGCCTCTGCCTCCCAAAATGCTGGGATTATAGGCATGAGCCACCATACCCGACTGACCCTAAAACACATTTAAGGTCTCTGTTCATGTTGGGTCAGCTCTTTGTATTGGCCACAGGAAGTCACATGGTCATACCTAGCAGGCAGGGAAAGGGAGGGAGGTCCATCCCTCCTCACAGTGGGAGAGTGCTACAGTTAGATTGCAGGGGTGTGATTGTGTTAGAGTTAAGAATTGAGACCAGTGGTCCCAGTCTACCCTAAGGCTTCAGGAAATGCTGTTCTTTCCCTCACTTTGCTTGTTCTGGCTCTTTATATGCCTGGTTCTTTTCATTCTTAAACTTCTGCTAAATGTCACCTTAGAAAAGTCTGACATAGTCCTTAATAAAAATATTATTATCCACCCCCTTGCCAACCTCCATTTCTCTTTATCGTGATGCCCTATTTATTTCATCCATAGCACTGATCACAATATTACATTGTTTTGTTTATAGCTTTTGTCTCCCAAATCAAAGTATGAGCCTCCACAAAGATAGGAACTTTGTCTTTCTATACTGTCCTACCAAACATTGGATGGATGGATGGATGGATGGATGGATGAATTGCCTGCTTGCAGGTCAGATGCAGAGTGGTTTGCATTGTCAGATGATATCTTAAATTTCATGTGTTTCAGCTTGTGAAGTCCATTTTGAAAACACCAAGATACCTGTGGAAAACATCCTTGGAGAGGTCGGAGATGGGTTTAAGGTGAGTTGCCAGCCACAGCCCCTTGTACCAGGTAGTGTCATGAGTGCAGTTTGTCGCCCCCAGCTTTTGCCCTATCCCTGCTCGTAGCAGAGTAGCCTGTGCATGGCAGGTGACTTTGCATGGTTATCTGTTGGGAAATTGGCAAAATGGACACTGGAAAATTGGCTGGCTCCTAGAAGAAGTGTATGGTAAGGATTAGGAATTTCCCTTCACCTCTGAGGCCCTATTCGCCTCGAGCGGAGGCTAAGATTCCCTTCTGCAGTGGGTATGAGAAAGCAGCCTGTGGGCTCTGGTGAATCTCAAGCTCTGTGTACCACAACCCTGGTCTGCATCGCTGCCCTACTCTTTTCTTTTTGGACTAAGACTTATTTTTATCAAGAGATGATTCATATGACAAAGGACTCACCATTTTAAAATATTATTTCAGTGGTTTTTAGTATATTCACTATGTTGTTCAAATATCTCACACAGAACATTTCCTCACCCCAAAAAGAAATGTTGTACCATCCAGTATGACCCTTACCCCATCCCTTGGCTGCTACTCTTTTACTTTATGTCCCTATGGATTTGCCTGTTTGGAACATTTCATAAAAATGCAGTCATATACAAGATCCAGTCTTTGGTGACAGGCTTCTCTCACATTGCGTGATGTTTTCAAGGTTCATCTCTCTCATAGCATGAATGAGTAATTCATTCCTTTTATGGCTGAATTCTCTTCTGTTGAGTGGAGATACCACATTTTGTTCATCCATTCACCAGCTGATGGACATTGGGGTTGTTACCGCTTTTGGCTGCTATCAGTAATGCTACTTATGAACATTCATGTCAAGTTTTAATGTGGAAATAACGTTTTCAGGTATTTTGATTTATGCCTAAAAGTAGAATTTCTGTTTGGCCCAAGTTGGTCTTGAACTCCTGGGCTCAAGCGATCCTCTTGCCTTGGCCTTCCAAAATGCTGGTACTACAGGTGGGAGCCACCATGCCCAGCTCTGGCATGGTCCTTTGGAATAACGTTCAGTGGTCTTGTGTGTGGGGATGTTGGTAGAGCTGCAACAGTGACTGAACCACCTTGTTCTGAGGCATTAGGATGGTGCTTTCTCCCAGCTTGAGGGAAGGCAAGCTGATCCACCTGGCCTGGTTTCGTTGCGGCCTCCTCCCTCTGCCTCCTTCAGGGCCCCTGGGCTCTCCCTGTTCTCCCTGCAGGTGGCCATGAACATCCTCAACAGCGGCCGGTTCAGCATGGGCAGCGTCGTGGCTGGGCTGCTCAAGAGATTGATTGGTAGGTAAGTTAGGGACAAGGCCCTTTGTGCCCCACCCCCTGCTGCCCCGGCTCCAACCCTGGAGGCTCTGCCATTCCCCCGGCCCCTTCCAGGCCAGTGCTGAACCAGGCTACCAGCCTGAGCTCAGTCCCTGGGCTTTTGTGGAGACCAGAGGGTCTCCTCAGCCTGCCCCTGAGGTTTGTTGTCTTCCGCATTCCTCTGTTTCACCTCCACCCGGGTGATGCTGACTGGGGGACAGGCTTTCTGTCTGGGGTGGGGATGGGGATTGGGGAATGGGCTGTCTGTCTGGAGTGAGAGGTTGCCACTGACCAGTAGGAGCAGAGCTGCTTGGTGAGCACACACCAAGAACCAGGCTTCCAGGATACACGGCCTCTGGTTCCCAAGGTCCGTGCCTCCTGGGTGACTCTGCATGGTGGGTGGGGAGTAGGATCGGGTTTGGAACCCAGGTCCCTGGGCCCCTGGATCTTACCTTTGTTCTATTCTGTCAGAATACCCCAAACCTCCATTTTCCTTTGCCAGTGAACTTAGAACAGCCCTGTAACCATCCTGGTTGTGGTGGAAGCATTTGCGGGGAAATGGGGGTACCCGGGGCAGCACACCCCTAAGTGCTTTATGAAGCTCCTCTTTGGTGCCAGGCTCTGGGCCTGTTTTGGCTTCCCTCCATTTTAGAGATGAGAAGACAGAGACTCAGAGAGGGCAAGCGATTTGTTCCAGACTGTGCTCCTGGACCCAAAATGAAAGCTGTCAGGCTCCAGGCTCAGGGCTCTTCTTACTCAGGCACAAGGCCTCTGGGGAGCTCCTCTGCTGGGGCTCTGAGTGGGGCTCGGCCCTCTACACCTCCTGAGTGCACCACACCTGGGAGAGCCTGTGGAGGACATGGCTATGGCGGGGCGGGGGTGCTTCTGCCTGGGAGAGGCGCCATGTCACTCTTGGGCCCTTAGAGCTCAGCACTTTGTCACAGCCACACGCCTGGAAGCCCCAGCCTGAGTATTCAAGCCAGGCGGCCCCACCTGCTTTGGTCACTGCACGGGGTGTGAGCCTGCACCACCTCTGTCTGGGGCCTCTGTGCCTGGCTTTGTGCGAGGCGCCCTCCCCCTTCCACCTGGTTGCATCTTCACAGCGACTCTGAGGTGGGGGTGGTGTTCAGGGAGGTGTCGCACTCGGCCTGAGGCACAGCCTGTAAGAACCATTGCCAGGATTCAAGTCTGTATCTGATGCCAAACTCTGTGTGTGGGTGCCATGAGGAGGGGTGGTTCTCCTCTGACCCACGGGTGCTGGCAAGTGGGGGTGCCAGCTTCTGGGGTATTTGACCTCAGCAGACACGCTTCTCACAGTGCCCACCTGTGGGAAGGGTAAGGATGATGGCCATAGGAAATCATGTTTGAACCACAGAAATATTCCAGTTCATTCTAATAACTCTGCTCTTCCTCAGAAATGACTGCTGAGTACGCCTGCACAAGGAAACAGTTTAACAAGAGGCTCAGTGAATTTGGATTGATTCAGGTACCAATGGTTGAGTACTGTATTTGTGCATTTCACTGTGTGACATGAACGGTGTGTTCTTTTGATGTCTCTGTACTGGTGACTTCTGTGGTGATTTGGGAAGAAGACTAGTTAAGGCTTTATTTGACACGGGTCACTGGGCTTGCTTCTCTTGGGCATTGAGGCTTCTGACTTAATTACTTTCTCTCCTGTTTCACAGATTTGGCTCTCAGCACATGCAAATTGTTTCTTGTGTTTTTTCTGAACACTCCAGGAGAAATTTGCACTGATGGCTCAGAAGGCTTACGTCATGGAGAGTATGACCTACCTCACAGCAGGGATGCTGGACCAACCTGGCTTTCCCGACTGCTCCATCGAGGCAGCCATGGTGAAGGTAACCCTGGCATAGCCAGAGAGCTGGCGCTGGAGGGAGGCTTGGGAAATCTCCCTCACTGTGACCTTTCAAGCCCATGCTGTTGCCTGTCATCTTCCTCCTGTCATTGATCCAGTATTTATGATGCACTTGCCCTGTGTAGCACTCCAGGGATAGGCAGGCAGCGGGGAGCAGCAGTAGGGAAGTGTCCAGTGGGCCAGTGGATCAGTAGTTTATAGCAGAAGGAGACCGTTATGATAATATCCTTTTAGAGTAATAACATTGCATCTGGCTTGTGTGAGAAAGACTTCTTTTTTCCTTAGTTTATGGCCTTCCTACTTTCTGGTATCAAAACTTTATCTTAAAAACTAAGCATATGGCAGGGCGCGGTGGCTCACACCTGTAATCCCAGCACTTTGGGGGGCCGAGGTGGATGGATCACCTGAGGTCTGGAGTTCGAGACCAGCCTGGCCAACATGGTAAAACCCCATCTCTACTAAAAACACAAAAAATTAGCCGGGCATAGTGGCGGGCACCTGTAACCCCAGCTACTTGGGAAGCTGAGGCAAGAGAATCACTTGAACCCGGTGGGGGCGGAGGTTGCAGTGAGCCGAGGTTGTGCCATTGCACACCAGCCTAGGCAACAAGAGCAAAACTCCATCTCAAAAAAAAACAAAAAACAAAAAACATGTATGAGCCTGGGCAACATGGCGAAACCCCATCTCTACAAAAAATACAAAAATTAGCTGGCATGGTGGCACACGCCTATAGTCCCTGCTACCTGGGAGGCTGAGGTGGGAAGAGCATCTTATTTGGTTAAGGTAGATACTAGAATTTGCTTTTGTTTTGTTGAGGGTGGAGGGTGTCATTTTTTAGCTGTAATAAAAAAGATGGCCACACTTGGGGGGACCCTACTTTGTGCCCCCCACAATTGTTTTTAAGCTGGTCTCTGGAATTGAGCTCTTGAGAGAAATAGTGAGAGGTATGGCAGCTTACAGAAGCAAACATCCTGGTGTCGGCAGGAGAGTCTACCTAAAAGGTTGGGATCCTGAAGTGGCAAGGTCCCTAAAAAAATAAAAAATTAAAAACAAAAAGGCTGGGCATCTTGGACCGTGTTTGAGTCTTTTCTAGGTGCAGTCTGTGTACTGGGTGCATTTGCATGTGTTTTATCATCTCGTTTTCTTGTCACCCTTGAACAGTGACCACAGACATTAGTTTGCTGTAGGCCAGCCTCTTCCAGATGCTAAGCCTAGGGCTAAACATGGCAGTATGTTTGCCCCCAAGGCACTTATAGTGTGCACAGACAGAAAGAAATCACGGCCGCTGGGGCTTGGCAGGAACAGGTCAGGTTTTCTCGGGAAGGGGAGATCTTAGGTGGGTTTTAAAGGAACAGGAGCTCAGCCAGGTGCAGATAGGGTGAAGGCAGGCCCAGAGGTACAGAAGGTCATGGTGGGGTAGGGAACACAAGCTGGCCAGTGTGGTCACGGAAGGCAAAGGACTTGACCACATCACCCCTCAAGTTCCTCCCTGGCCGATCTCCTCCCCAAGCCCGTGTGCCTCCCATGCCTCCCCAGCCACCCAGCTCCCTGCAGCGTAGGTCCTCCTTTTGGAAAGGATTCAGTGTGACACCCCACAGGTGTTCAGCTCCGAGGCCGCCTGGCAGTGTGTGAGTGAGGCGCTGCAGATCCTCGGGGGCTTGGGCTACACAAGGGACTATCCGTACGAGCGCATACTGCGTGACACCCGCATCCTCCTCATCTTCGAGGTGAGTGGCCCCGCCACCAGCTAAGCTGTGCTCCACCCCCACCCTGCCTGGTCCTAAAGATGCTGCTCAGGGCCTCGCAGAGGCCCCCGCAGCCCAGGGCTGGGTCGCATGCTCTCAGGGGCTCTCCTAGCCCTGGCACGTCTCCTTCCCGACTGCTGCCCTCCATGAAGTCACAAGCCTGAGGAGTCAGTTCAGTTAGCATGTGCCAGGTGGCAGGGGAGGGAACTGGGGCCACAGAGATGACTTCGGATGCTGTGTTCTGATTGTGCAGCAGGGCCGACCAAGGGAGATGACAGAGTGTAAAGAGGCAGGGAGCGGGCATCCTCCAGAGGCAGCCAGAGTTTTGTGAAGCATGCGCTCCTGGCCCCTAGGGGCAGAAAGAAAGGGCTTCAACCAGGGCCGGGTGGAGGGCAGTTTGTCCCTAAGGGCAGGGTAATAGAGCGCGCCAGGCCCAGATGGGACTGATCTGCTGGCACAAGGTGAATGAAGAGAGAGTGAAGGGCTTTCTGGGAGCAGCAGTCAGCCCTGCTAGGTGGGCTGGGGCAGGCAGTGGGTTTGGGGGTGTTGAAGAAGGTATATGGGAAGGCTAAAAAAGTAGCCAGACTGTGGAGGACCTTGATTGACAGCAGAGGAATTTGGAAGCCACAAAACGTCTTTAAGCAGGGCATTATTTGGTTGTATCTGTGTTGTGGGAAATGCCCCCAGGGGCTCAGCAAGTGCTGGACATGTGGACGGGGCTCATGTGGAGAGTGAGTTGCAGGGATGAGGCCGGAGACCAGGGGCTCTCCTGCTGGGAGGGAGGGGCTGGACCTAAGAGAGCACAGCAGGATGAGTGGGATATGATGGTGGGCATGGGTATACAGGAGGCAGGCCTGAGACAGGGAGAGGGTTTGGGCCTGAGCAGCAGGTCTGGTGATGAGAGGCATCATCAGCCTCTGGGAGTGTAGTCTTGTCTCCTGGGCCGTCCTGCCCAGTGGGAGGCCTCCTTGGCTGCTTTTGTTCCTGGCCTACCCATTGGGTTCCAGCCATCTCCACTGTTGCAGTGGACATACGGGGCAAGGGCCAGCCTGAGGGCACTGGAGTGGTCTCAGCCCTGCAAAGGGTCTTCTCCAAAGGCCCTTCCCTTAGCCTGGGAGGGTTGGGGTTCTCCAGGGCTGGGGTGGTCAGCAGGGTTCAGGAAGCCCTCAAGGCCTTGGAAGAACACAGGGCTCTCGATGTAGGGTGAGAGCTCCTGTCTGGAGCCTGCTCGGAGCTGGGTGGTCCTGCCAGGAGGCCCCTGCAGTCCCCCCTTTTCCTGTAGGGAGTCCTGCTGTCCGTGATGTCAGCCTGACTGCAGGGGACAGTCCTCAGTCCCTAGTGCTGGCTGTGTAGCCTGGGTCAGGCCCCTGCACCTGACACACAGTACCATTGTGCAGAGTGGGCAGAAGCCCACTGGCCTCTCACTGATCAGAATCATGGGTTGGGGGAGTGGGGAGCATGTGGCCCTCTGGGTGTGTTGACACCTGGCACTGAGGAGGTTCTAGCTGCCACTCAGCAATTTCTGGCTTCCGTGAGGAATCTGGCCTCCACCTGGAGCCAGCAATGTCTGTCTGGCACTGGCTGAGCCCCAGGCATCAGCACCCCTCACCACCCGGGGAAAGCTGGTTTCCATTTTACAGAGGACCTGGAGACTTGGAGAAAGGCTTGACACACGTGAGGCTGGTCACGGAGAGGTGGGGGGGTCCCAGTGGGAGCTCATGGCCATCTGGTCACCTCCCTCCTCATCCCTGTGCACTCCCTGAGCCCTGGCCAGAGCCCTGCTCCCAGCTACTTCAGGAGCAGTGGCTTTTGTGGCAATGGGCAAGCAGGCAGTGGCCGGCTCTACCCAGCACACGTGGCACTACCATGGCTGCCTGGCCGGGGGGCAGCCTTTGACCTCTACACTACTGACCACAGGGAACCAATGAGATTCTCCGGATGTACATCGCCCTGACGGGTCTGCAGCATGCCGGCCGCATCCTGACTACCAGGATCCAGTAGGTGCCATTGTCACCGTGTGCTTCTCAGGTCCCATACCTGCCCAGCAGGGGCCAGTCCAGGGCAGTGGGAGGAAAGAGCTGCCTTGACCTGGAGTGGGGGCATGGGGGTGTGGCGCAGCCTTGTGGAGGGGACCTTCCCCTGTGGTAGTGGGGGGCTTGCTGCCCAGGGAAGCCCTCGCTGCCCTGCCCTTATGGCCACAGCACCCTACAGCTTCAGCATAAATACCGTATCCCCCATCTGGTCCCTCACACTAGAGGCAGCTGGTTTTTCAGAACCTGAAGAATGAGAGGTGTCCCTTTAAAGGTGCCAGGCCTCACAGCCAACATAAGCCAGTGTTTCTCTTCTCTGCCCTTCTTCCCCTCATGCTCCCCTCCACCCCCACCCTAGGGGCACAGTAATCCAAAATCACTGCTGGAGGCCAAGTACAGGTTGCTAGTAGCATTTTGTCTCCTTCACAGGAGACAGCTGCTGGGAAGCTGGCTGTGACTCCACCCCTCATGGGGGAGCATATGTGTGGCTCCCCTGAGGAGACTGGCTGCTCTCTGGCAGGTGGTGGGTTTGGGGGGGTTCAGGCTGTAGCCAGGGGCCCAGCATACCCAGGCCAGAGGGGGGCACGGAGCTTCTGGGTGCCGAATGGGCCATGTTGCTGGACAGTGAGCGCCAGCAGCGAGGCCTCCAGTCACAGGACCATGGACTTTCTGCAGTGAGCTTAAACAGGCCAAAGTGAGCACAGTCATGGATACCGTTGGCCGGAGGCTTCGGGACTCCCTGGGCCGAACTGTGGACCTGGGGCTGACAGGCAACCATGGAGTTGTGCACCCCAGTCTTGCGGTGAGTGGGCCTAACAGGCATACCCCCTATTTCAATGCCCTCCTGCCAGATCTCCTTGTGGCAGAAAAGATCTCACTGTGGGGGGTCTGGGCTTCTCCAGGGGAAGTTGGGGAACACCAGCTAGTCCATGACACCCTGGATTGCTTCCCCCAGATGGGGCATCTCTGCCTGGTACCCGGGCTGTGAGACAGGACAGGGCACTGTAGGGATGAGGTGCTGAACTGAGTCCTGTCTTGGTTAATAGGACAGTGCCAACAAGTTTGAGGAGAACACCTACTGCTTCGGCCGGACCGTGGAGACACTGCTGCTCCGCTTTGGCAAGGTAACCAGGCCCTCCCAGGCCTGGGTCGCAAGCGGTCCTCCAATTTGGCCAGCATTCATGAGACTACTTTTTGTCAAGCATCCTTTGGGACCAGGCCTAGAACAGAAATGTTGATCACCCTGGAGGGATGGGGTGGTGAGGTCAGGCTGACTTTGTCAGCCTGGGGCCCACTTAGCTACTCGGATGGGTACCCTTGCTGGGTGAGTTTTCTGCAGTGTTTTTCTGTGCACCTTTCAGGTAGAGAGGCTCCCTAGAATCGGGAGGGCAGCTCCACCTGGGGCCTGAATCTAGGGACCTGATTGGTGGGGCCCTTGCTGCTGAAGGTGGCAGTAGCACAGTAAGCACTGGCTTCTGGTCTCAGCCAAGCTTCTGGGACCTGGTCTTGCCTTAACCCCTCCCTGAATCTAGAGCTCAAAGAGAAGGGAAAACAGAAGGTGGCTGGGAGCCGTTCTCCCACAACCTGAAGAGAAAGGTGTTATTGACTCCACTTTCTCAAGGAACACAGGAGACTAAGACAGGCAAAGATGCAGCCCAGGGAGGGACCATGTGGGGGACTGGTCTAGGTAGTGAGTCCCCACTTGGAGCCTCTGTGATCCCAGACCATCATGGAGGAGCAGCTGGTACTGAAGCGGGTGGCCAACATCCTCATCAACCTGTATGGCATGACGGCCGTGCTGTCGCGGGCCAGCCGCTCCATCCGCATTGGGCTCCGCAACCACGACCACGAGGTGAGCCCAGCCCAGCCTCACACAGGGCCTGGCTGCTGCCATCTGTCCTGCTGCACTTTAATGAAGTTGATTGTTGAGGAGGGTGTGGTCGGGTGTGGGGGAGGCTGTGCAGGTTCACCATGCGGTGGCCGTGGGAGGGTCTGTGCTGCTCAGGAGATGGGGCTGTTCCCTTTCTTCTTCCTGACTGAGAGAAGAGGGGGTGAGTGACAGGGGTTCCTGATCCCAGTGCCCCTACCCCCAGCAAGGGACAGACCCTGCACATTGCCCGCTGTGCTGGAGGGAGGCGGGTGCAGTCTCTGAGGACCCACTGTATACCAGGATCTCTGCCTGCACTTTCCAGAGCACCTGCAGATACCAGGATTGTGACATCTGCCTTTCAGAGGAAACAGGGTCAGAGATGTTGAGTCACTTGCTGTTGGGGAAAGGCTGTTGGATCAGGGCTGGAATTAGAACCCAAGACGGGGTGACTCCTGTGCCAGGCCTTGTGACCCCTGCCATGCTACCCAGTTTGGCTGATAGGCTGGGTTTTTGAAGCTCAGAGGTCTGATTCCAGGAATTTGGGCATATCTTTTCTGTCCTCGGTTCTGGCAGGTTCTCTTGGCCAACACCTTCTGCGTGGAAGCTTACTTGCAGAATCTCTTCAGCCTCTCTCAGCTGGACAAGTGTGAGTGGCATGTCTTGGGGGAGGGAAGGAAGGGCCCACTTCTAGGCCCCTATTGATGGTGAGCTGTTTCTGGACCCTGTCAAGCTCCCAGAGCCTGCTAGCTACTCACAGACCTCTGCCTTGAGCGAGGGCCTGGGTAGGCCTGGGCTTAGCTGCAGCAGTGCCCACCAGGCACTGTAGGTGCATACCTGCCCCATTCACCAAGGCAGTTGTATGTATATATGTGTGTGTGTGTATGTATGTATGTATGTATTTATTTCGAGATGGAGTTTCGCTCTTGTTGCCCAAGCTGGAGTGTAATGGCGCAGTCTTGGCTCCCTGCAAACTCCACCTCTTGGGTTCAAGCGATTCTTCTGCCCCAGCCTCCCGAGTAGCTGGGATTACAGGCGCACGCCACCACGCCCGGCTAATTTTTTGTATTTTTAGTAGAAACAGGGTTTCACCATGTTAGCCAGGCTGGTCTCCAACTCCTGACCTCAGGTGATCTGCCTGCCTCAGCCTCCAAAAATGCTGGGATTACAGGCATGAGCCACCGCACCGGGCCTGCCAAGGCAATTTTAGATTGAGCAAGTGCAGAGCCCTTTGCGCAGGACCCCTGGCATCTGCCCAGCATGCCTGGCTGTATTCTCTTTTTTTTGGAGACATAGTCTCACTTTGTCACCCAGGCTGGCTGGAGTGCAGTGGCATGATCTTGGCTCACTGCAACCTCCACCTCCTGGGTTCAAGCAACTCCTGTGCCTCAGCCTCCTGAGTAGTTGGGATTATAGGCACGCACCACCATGCCCAGCTAATATTTGTATTTTTAGTAGAAACAAACAGGGTTTCACCATGTTGGCCAAGCTGGTCTCCAACCCCTGACCTCAGGTGATCCGCCCACCTTGGCCTCCCAAAGTGCTGGGATTACAGGCATGAGCCACTGTGCCCAGCCCTGGCTGTATTCTTGAAGCTGCCCGGGGAAGGCTCACGAAGGGAGGAGCATCTGGTTGTACCTGATTCTGGAGACAGCATTTTACCTGCCCCTTTACCCACTGTACTCCATCCAAAATGACCCTGCAGTGCCCTGCAGAGGTCTCAGGCCTTGGCCTAGAGAACAGAGGGCTTTGCTCGTGCTCCCCGCTCTGTCTGCAGTGCTCTTCCTCTTCTATAGCCACTCGACCATATCTAGGAATGCCCAGCTCAGTCTACCTCTGACCCTCACAGTCCTGTTGACCTGAGGTTCTGGATCAGTGTCCCCACAAAGCCCAGTCGTGTTGCCAAGTGATGGGTGTAGGCGCCAGCACTGTGGCACTTGCTGAGAGTGGCATATGATTTTTTGCAGGTCCTAGCCCTGGGGGTAGCCCAGACACCCCCCCAGTGCTGACAGGTTATGTGCTGTGGAGGGTGCTGAAATGGTTTCTCCTCCAGTGGGCTGGAATCACAGATGGGCTGTTTACGGAGCAAGTGCCGGCTCCACCCCATGAGATCTGGGGGTTAGAGATGAGCAGGATGAGTCCTTTGTAACTGAGAATGAAGCTGTACCCCTTTCTCTCCCTGCAGCCCTGAATCACTTGCTGGGGGTCTGGAGGAGGGGTTCACCC
Source organism: Homo sapiens (assembly GCF_000001405.40). Classification (NCBI taxonomy): domain Eukaryota; kingdom Metazoa; phylum Chordata; class Mammalia; order Primates; family Hominidae; genus Homo; species Homo sapiens. The sequence goes on from NC_000003.12 coordinate 128,912,391, forward strand.
TTAGGGCTGCTTCATGGTGGGTGGGCTGACTTTGTGGAAAAATGCCCCCACTTCAGCCATGTTTGTCTTATCACGGTGCAGAAAGATCACCCACCATCTCTCCTTTTCCTTCCCAGATGCTCCAGAAAACCTAGATGAGCAGATTAAGAAAGTGTCCCAGCAGATCCTTGAGAAGCGAGCCTATATCTGTGCCCACCCTCTGGACAGGACATGCTGAGGCAGGGGACAGTGTCCCCTGCTACCGCCCGCCCCTACCCATGGCCCGTTGCTGGATGACTGTTACTCTTTTTTCAGAAGGTGTTGGGATTATCACAGGTTAAGCCTTTTGTTCCCCGTCTGCACCTGAAGGGTTGTCGCCTGGCCTGGGAGAGCCTCTTCCAGGTTTTGACCTGCAGGCAGTGCTCTCTAACAGGACCATCACAGCTTCTGAACTGAGCCGGAGAGAGAGAATGGAATTGCTGACCCCTGGAACTGGCGGGTATTCTGGTCATTGAGGAGACACCATAGTGGAAACTGGGGCTTATGCTGCTGCCTCCAGGGTGTGAGGTGGGTGGGGACCTGTGTCAGGTGTGGATAGCCATTTCTGCTCAACCACACATTCTCTAAGAAACAGCTTGAAAGCTCTGTCTGGGTCATTCATTTAAACTAGAAGCAGAGGCACTTAAAACATGTACCAGGAACCATTTAACAAAGAATATAAAATGTCACAATCTGTGTACTGTTAGCCTTTGCTGTACTTGTCACACTGTTCCTTAGAACCAGCCTTTAATGGGTGACAGCAGGACCCTGAGAACCACCCTTTGGTGATGGCCTCGGGTCCCCTTTGTCCTCACCCTGCAAGGAGGGCCCAGAATGCTAAGGAGCAGACACACAGTGCAGGCCACAATCCCTTGGGGTTATGAGCCCTTAGTTTTTATCCTTCTCAGGAGATGATGGGGAGGCTGTCTCAGCTGATGATGTTCCCACCTAGGGACTTTAGTTTCTTTACAAGAACTGGCTTCTACTCTTGAGGAGAGGATGAATGGTATCTCCAGGCCAGCAGGCCTTTGCATTTCTCCAGCCTCCCTTCTGCTGGCACTTGAAAGATTACACCAGGTCCCAGCGTGCTCACTGTGGTGAACTTTAAGCTTTGATGTGGTCCTTGGGTGGTCTGGAGCTCTAAAATGCCTATTGTGGACACTCCCTTGAGCACAGAGAAGGCAGCCGACTCTTTTTCCTCCAAGTATATTCCCAATTTACTGTGATGCTGGAAATAGGCAAGGAGGAGACTGGGAACTTGGAGAGCTGAGCTGGCTGAGTGGGGCTGGCCTGAGCATTCTGCCAGGGGTTTGGTAACTAGTTTTTAAAATGGGGAAAGTTTGTAAATATTGTGACCGTGTAAATAACCTCTCAGTGAAACCTGAAGTTCTGTTAGTGATAGCAGGGCAGCATTTTGCACAAAATGAAGCATGCATACCTCTGGACAGAAGGCTGCTTAGAGTTTCTTTGCACAGGAGAAGTTTGGGGAGGGGCTGTCAGACCCACCCCCCTTCTGTGCAGCCTTCTGGAAGGGGGCTTCACTCTAGGCTGGTGGCGTGTAAGGCCTCAGTCTTACATGCCAATGGAGAATGGCAAGTTCTCCATTCATCCATCTGGGTTGAAAAGGCCTAGCGACCAGTTCAAGCCTCTCCCTCTCATCTGTAGTTGCTAACTTTTCTTAAACATGTTGTGGGAAGAGGAGACCCCAGCAAGTGTTTCTTAAGTGATTTCACCAGTGAAACCCCCAGGAGACTTTTGCTGGGAAGGCTGGCAGTGGAGCTCACTAGGAAGCCTTCTTACCAAGGAAAAGCCTTGTGTTCTTAGGCTAGACAGCTCTCCTAGCTGGAGCCTCCTTGAGAGCCACAGCAGTAACTGTGGGCCTGGGACATGCCCACAGAGAGCAGGTCTCTTCAGGCAACCTGGGAGATCTAGGGCCTACTGGGGAGGGAGGGAGCCAAGTCTAGGCAAATGGAGAAAGTGACATTTCAGCAAACTTGTTAGCACTTCCATGGAGCTGTGATCAGTTGTCCTTAGGAGTCGAGGAGGAGAGGAAGCCATCACGTTCACCTGACCTAGTTTTCTGGGAGAAGTTTCTCTGGCAGACCTTGTTTTTAGATAGGCTCATGTCTCTTTCTCCCTGAACAAAGGTTCTGGCTCTGTTAACCAAGTTTGGGTTCTATGTTAACCTCCAGATGATCCTGAGATCAATTTTCATAAACAGGGATAAAGAGGAAGAGGACTTGGAGGGACTGGTACAGCAAGACCTACGTTTCCTGTCTCTGCCTTACCCCAAAGAAAGAACTGTCAGTATCTTTGCCGCTGGAAGGTCCCAGTGAAGCCCAGAGCCTCTGCCCCCAGCTCTTGGCTGGACACCTAGAGATCAGTCATGGGTAATAGTGTTGAAGCTCAGGAAGCCTTTAGACCTGTCTTCCAACTTCCCCACTTTATAGCCAAGAAACCAGACCCAGGGCATGAAGGGATTTGCCTCAAGTCACACAAATGTCACACTTGGGGCTAGAATCCTGGTCTGAGTTCCAGCCCAGCATTCAATCTCTTTTTTCAGACCCATTCTGCATCTTGCTTTTCTTAGCATAGAAAGTTTGGTTGATAGTGTAAACAAAATGGATACCACTGAAGATGCAGAGTGGCACAGAGCTCCTGCCTGCCCACGGCATCAGGAGGCCCAGCTTGGCAAACCCTTGCCTGTTACCTGTTACAGGCTTTGGTGCGGGCGAAGGGAGCAGCTCGAGGAAAGGTGGTGGTTTCTTGTACAGATCAAAGTCCACGTGGTGCCTGTCCCAGCTCCACCTGTCTCGATCCAACACAGGCTCCAGTACATTAGCAAACAGGGAGTTTTCCTTCCACTCCTAAATTGGGGGAGTAAGTAAATCAGGAGGAGAAAGGTCCCTATGGACACCCCACCTGAGACCCTGCTCTTCCCTGTGGACCTCATTCAGCTCTTTGATGGGTGGCAGCTTGAGATCCTGAAAGCTGCTTTCGGTGTCGCTCTGAAGACCTGTCACTTGGAATCCCCTGGCTGTGAGCCAGGCCTGGCGGGATTTCTTCTGGGCTTTCTTCTCCTCTTCCTTCAAGTCCAGGGGCTCCACCATGGCTGAGAGGTAATCCTGTGAGTACGTGAATCTCTTTCTTGGCTCCTAGAAATGGGGGCAGACAGGTTGGGGTGGAAGGGCTAATAGCAATCTTGGATTTATTTCCAAGTAGGAATCAGAAACAGCTGGGGGCATAATCATAGTTCCTGACAATGTAAATAGTGCATTGAGAGGAAATGACTGTGCAGTAGCCCTGTAAGGGACATATTATTGTCCCCTTTGATGGGAGAAGCCGTTTCCTAAAGTTAATATGTGCTGGAAGCCTAAACCATGGCTTTCCCTTCTGTTGGTAGCTGCCTTGATAAGCAGCAATCATAAAGTGTTCCCCAGAGGTAAGGATGCTACAGTTGTTCTCCTTTATGTACATCTGAGCTTACATTGAGGATCTTGGGCTTACCCTCAGGTGTGGAGGATTCACATTTAGTGTGGAACAGAACACCTCTCAACATCTGAGCCTTGTCTACTTCCCCTAGCTGATTGGCTTTCATCTGTATAGTTGAGATCCCCCACTGACCTCCAGGCAGGCATGGTCAGAATAAAGAACTCATGGGATTTGCCAACTGCCATCATCCTGTCTGGGTCTCTCACCTTGGCTATCTCTTGATACAGCTCCTTCTTGGCAAGCTCTGTAGAATTCATGGTCTGGGTACTATAGTTGTAGACGGCCTTGTTGGCAGGGGCTGAAATTTTAATCACCTTCGCCACGGACTTCGGAGGCTTCTTGCTGACCTGGTAGGCTTCTGTGATATTTTTCTGAAGAAAGAGACACCAGTCACTACCCACACCAGGTCATCCTCACCCCCCATGCCAGCTCATATGCAGTGAGATGATCTCTGGGACTTAGCTGTGGTGCAGGTATTGATTGATTCTTCAATACTGGTGCTGTTATTTCATCATAGAACCAGGGCAAAGGGCCAACTAGTCCAACCTCTCACTATCCAAAATGGAATTTAAGAGGACCAAAAAATTGAGACCCCTAAGGTCACTGTAACTGGAACACACATCATCTGGCCACTCATCTCCCAACCACCTTGTGATAAAGACAGAATTTGTGTCTCACATGGTCAGAAGTAGGAGAGTGTGGACAGGGGATATTACAACCTAAAGCAGCAAGGACTGCCATCCTTGACCATGGTTAACTGTCAAGTGTGCATAAGGATTATGACCCTCATTCTGTCCAGCAGGCCCAGTAAGGAAATGGGAACTCTTCCCTGAACAGAGAGAAATAAGATGGTCTGTTGGCTTCCTTTGTGAATGAAAATAGAAATGTGGAAGGAGATAAAAGACAACACAGAAGGCTGGGGGGAAAGGTGGCTGGGACCCAAAACAAGGGAGAACTGGGAAAGTTACCACTCTAAATTGTTGGGCACTGTGCAGTGTTTCATATGCATATTTCACAGTAACCTTCAGCAAAATACCATCTTTTACCTTTAAAAAATTTTTTAGCACAAGATGGTGACCTTAGCTCAACTACAGTGGCTTGACTTTGGAATCTTTGAGGAATTAATGCACAAGAATTTAAAATAATCAGGGGAGGACAAAATTTGTGATTCACACACATGAAAGAACAGACTGTCCAGGCAACAAGGGATGCAAGGTAAAGGCAAGTCTAGGTCCTCAGACTTTGGAGCACCTGCGAGAAGATTATACTAGGGATGCCACATAGAGCAAGGATCCTGTCATGGCCCACATGGAACTTCAATCAATATTTCTTGATGTGTCCAGTTTTTCTAGTTGTCCTTAGTGGGGGAGTTGATCTGAGTTTCTCAGTTAGCCATTCCTAGAAGTCCCCTGCTCCTTCCAAATCCTAGAATTCGTGAATTACAACCTAGGGGGACAGATTCTTCTTTCCATGCTACTCCTTTCTTACAATTTGAAGTTGAAATTCTGACCTAATGCTTATTACAGGGAAAGCAAACTGTTCCGTAGTTCTTCTGGGTGCCTGAGATTCTCTGCTGAGGGGTGACACCTGCAGGAGAATTTGGACTCAGAGCAAAAGTAACTAGATGCTGGAGAAGTAAATACAGTATTTAAAAAAGGCCACAGACTGAACAACTGAAGCTAAATTATTGGAAAAGATGGGCTAAGAATTTAACATAAGAAATTGTTTTAAAATAAGAGTGAAGATAGCAATATGAAGCAGAAGTAAAACTAAAAGAAAAAGTATTGAGTATGAAAATAGTTGAAATAGAAGACAAGAGAATGAGATATATTGCAGAAGTGATACTGTTGTAGAACGAATGAATGAACTGGAATATCCACTTGAGATATGCTTTCAGAAAGCAGTCCTGTATAAAAAAGATAAAATTAGAAACTGAGTATAGAGGATGGAAATAACATCCAAATAACAGAAATCCCAAAAGGAGGGGAAAAGTGAGAACAAGAAAATTTGAAGCAATAATGAATGTCAGAAAAGACAAAACTTCCAAGCCTGGGTACACTATTATTAGTGGGATTTAAGCAAACAAATACAAAGATAAACTCTCAAAGCTTCTAGAGGAAAAGAGCAGGCCACCTGTAAAGAAAAACTATCACTTGTGATCAGATCCACAACAGCAACAAGGTAAGTTAACTTCAACCTACAATTTCATATCCAAGCAAACTAATTGTGAGGGCTTAGGTTTAAAGGCCTTAGGTTTTACATAAAACCCTCCTTTAAAAACTCTTGGGGCCAGATGTGGTGGCTCATGCCTGTAATCCCAGTACTTTGGGAAGCCTAGGCAGGCAGATCATCTGAGGTCAGAAGTTCAAGACCAGCTTGGCCAACATACAGTGAAACCCTTTCCATACTAAAAAATACAAAAATTAGCTGGGCATGGTGGCACACGCCTGTAGTCCCAGCCACTTGGGAAGCTGAGGCAGGAGAATCGCTTGAATCCAGGAGGCAGAGGTTGCATTGAGCCGAGATCATGCCACTCTACTCCAGCCTGGGTGACAGAGCCAGACTCCGTCTCAAAAAAACAAAACAAAAGTCACAAAACTCTTTGGAGAAATTCAAAATGGAGGAGGAACATGCAGGAGGATTCAAGGTTAGCAAGTAATGTCCGATAGCCTAGTAAAGTTGTCTTAAAAGGACTAGGAAAATAAAATTTCAGAGCCTGGAATTGAAATTCTAGAGACTATAAAAGGGATGGTGGAGTGTGGGTAGGAGATGAGATAAAAGGGATGTAAATGTACAATTTGTCTTATAAAGAGAATATAGTTTTATGAGTTTAATGTTCAGTAGGAATGCCTAACCATATGGTCTTCAGGATAACCACCTTAAAAAGAAAGATAGAATGTATAACTTAAGTCCACAGAAGAAAACTTGATCTATCCAAGGAACACAGGAACGGAGGGTTTAAAAGTAGATTAGGTGGCAAAAATGCCTAACCTAACAGTAATTAATGTTAAGCTTGCCAATTAAAGAATCTCAGATTGGATTTTTTTTTTTTTTTTTTTTTTTTGAGACAGAGTTTTGCTCTTGTTGCCCAGGTTGGAGTGGAATGGCGCGATCTTGGCTTACTACAACCTCCGCCTCCCGAGATGAAGTGATTCTCCTGCCTCAGCCTCCCAAGTAGCTGGGATTACAGGCGTGTGCCACCACGCCTGGCTAATTTTGTATTTTTAGTAGAGACAGGGTTTCACCATGTTCAGGCTGGTCTCGAACGCCAGACTTCAAGCGATCCACCCACTTCAGCTTCCCAAAGTGTTGGGATTACAGGCGTGAGCCACTGCACCCAGCCTGGATTTTTTTTTCAAGCTAACAATATGCTATCTACAAAACTTTCAACACAAAGATACAGGTTTGACAACTAAAGGGAGACAGCATATACACTAGGCAAAAAGGCATGAGAAAACAAAGACAAAAAAGCTGTGTGGCATTCTTAATATCTGCTGAAACAATTCAAGTTAAAAATCTATCAAAAGGGGCAAAAGGATATTGTATATTGAGGACAACAAAAAGGGATAACTTGTAAATATATATGCACCTAGCAATATAGTCTCAAAATATATTAAGAAACAACTGACAGGATTACAAGAAGAAATAGACATCTATCTAACATCACTGGAGAACAACCAAGGCAACCAGGATTTGAGAGTCCAAGAATCTGGAGAAAAGGGAAATAATGGTGGTTCCATTTTCTTTTTGCAGTTTTCTCTCAAGGGATTTACTGACTCCTAATTTGCACATGGATAAGGCAGAAATAAGAACATAAGCAGAAAAAGAAGCTTAAGAAGTTTAGAAGCTAAGGAGGTATTTTGGAAAATGCTGCATTGCTAGAGAAACAAAATTGGATTTCAAAATTGGAAATTGTGCCAAGGAGGAAGGGCCCTGGTACCTCTAGGCCTCCAGTTTAGAATTCAGAAAATCTGCTTTAGGAGTAAGGGCAAGCCTGACTCTGATTAAGGAGATTTATCTGTCCTCTGTCTCCTGCTTTATCATCTCTGGAATAAGACATCAAGAGTCTCTATAGTTTTCAATACCCTCTTTACCATTTAACAAAAAATAACAGACATGCCAGGTAACAGGATGAAAAGATGGAAACCAAGAAAAAAGACAATAGAAACAGACCCCAGGTAATCCAGATATTGGAAGTATCAGACAAGAACATTAAAACTAGTCTGGACATGGTGGCTCATGCCTGTAATCACAGCACTTTGGGAGGCTGAGGTGGGTGAATCACCTGAGGTGAGGAGTTAGAGACCAGCCTAACCAACATGGTGAAACCCTGTTTCTACTAATATACAAAAATTAGCTGGGTGTGGCAGTAGGTGCCTGTAATCTCAGCTATTCAGAAGGCTGAGGCAGGGAGAATTGCTTGAACCCAGGAGGCGGAGTTTGCAGTGAGCCAAGATAGTGCTACTGCACTCTAGCCTGGGCCACAGAGCAAGACTCCATCTCAAGAAAAAAAAATTAAAATAATTATGATTAATCAAAATAAATGAAAATGAGAATTTCACCAGACACCTGGAACCTATAGAAAAAATAAATGGAAATCATAGAATTGAAGAAATCATCATTAAAGTTACAATCCAGTGGATGGGTTTAATTGCAGCTTGGACACAGTGTTGGGGAAAAGCTGAGTGTTGGGAAAAAGGCTGAGGCAGGGCTTGCATGTCTGACGTAACGTAAAAGAGTCTTGGAACATGTCCGGCGTCCAGGGTCTAAAACCCCTTGTGGCCTTTGGAACACCAAGCTCTGTTCCAAAGGGTGGAAGGCTGCCCTGCCGCACTACAATCTAAGCCCAGGGCACAAGCCACAAGGGCGTGGCTTGGACGGAATCCAGGGAACAGCGCATAAAACCCCTCGTGGCCTCTGGAATGTGTCTCGACTTGTTGGCTCCTTGCTTCTAGCACTCCAAGGCTCATAGATCGATTGTGTCTTAAACTAGAAGAATACGTTTCCCATTATCTCAAGTAGCAGAACATGTTCCATATGCTTCAAAGAAAATTCTAAACCATCACAGCTGTAGATCATGCACTTGATACACTGCTTTCTTTCAACCCCCACATCCTCACCACCTGCTTCTTTGATCACCAATAAATAGTGTGGGCTTCCAGAGCTCGGGGCCTTCACAGCCTCCATACTAGTGTTGGCCCCCTGGTCCCACTTTATGCACTCTTGTCTCATCTGTTTGACTCTGCCGGACTTCATAGTCCCCACAGCCTGGAGTTGGGTCTGATCACCCCAACATTCCTGGCGCCCAATATGAGGCAACGAACACCCCAGTGAAGGAACACTAGAGTGTGTGAAAGAGGATGCATCATCAGAGGACACCCGAGGACGACTGAAAGAAGCTCAGCAGGAAAGCTGAGCACTCGGAAGGACCAGGGTAACAATGGCACAAAGTGAAAGCAAACATTCTGCTCAGGATGTTTTAATACAGCTTCTTACATACAATAATGCTAATGCAGTGTCAAACTGCTATTAGACCCCTGACAGGGAAGGTTCAGTTAGCTGAATGTATTAAGGCTTGCGATGGCATTGGAGGTAACTTACATAAGGCTAATCTTTTAGCTCAGGCTATGGCTGGATTGAAAGTAGGAAAGAATATGCCCCATTTCTTGGGCCATTGTTTCAATTGTGGGCAATTTGGACACAGAAAAAAGGAATGTAGAAAAGGAAATCAAAAGGCAAAAACTACCATCAATCAACAGAAAAGTCCCAGTGTATGCCCCCAGTGTAAGAAAGGCAATCACTGGGCAAATCAGTGTCATTCTAAATTTAGCAAAGATGGACAACCTCTTTCGGGAAATGGGAAGAGGGGCCTGCCTCAGGCCCCTCAACAAACCAAGGCATATCCGGCACAGCCAGTGCCCTTACAAACATACAACAATTGTCTCCCACCATAGTAGGCAGTGCTGCTATAGACCTTTGCAGCACAATTCCCATCTCCTTCCTGGGGAGCCACCAAAGAAGGTCCCCACGGGTGTTAGGGAACCCTTACCCTCAGGAACAGTTGGTCTGTTACTTGGAAGGTCTAGTTTAAATTTAAGAGGTGTCAGTGCATACGGGAATAATTGACTCTGATTATACCGGAGAAATTCAATTAGTTTGCTGGGCGCGGTGGCTCATGCCTGTAATCCTAGCACTTTGGGAGGCTGAGGTGGGCAGATCACGAGGTCAGGAGATCGAGACCATTCTGGCTAACACGGTGAAACCCCGTCTCTACTAAAAATACAAAAAAAAAATTAGCTGGGCATGGTGGCGGGCACCTGTAGTCCCAGCTCTCAGGGAGGCTGAGGCAGGAGAATGGAGTGAACCCAGGAGGTGGAGCTTGCAGTGAGTCAAGATCGTGCCACTGCACTCCAGCCTGGGCAATAGAGCAAGGCTCCATCTCAAAAAAAAAAAAAATTCAATTAGTTATTAGTTCCTCGACTCAGTGGTCTTCTTCCCCAGGAGAAAGAATTGCTTAGTTATTGCTGTTACCTTACACAAAACTAGGAAGCAGCACAGTGAAAAGAACAGGAGGCTTTGGTAGTAATCCAGCAGGAAAGGCTGTATATTGGGTTAATCTAGTGTCTGACAGAAGACCTATTTGTACAGTAACTATTCAGGGAAAGGATTTTGAAGGACTAGTAAATACTGAAGCTGATGTCTCTATTATTGCTTTAAATCAATGGCCCCAACACTGGCCCAAACAAAAGACTTCCATGGGTATCACTGGCATAGGGCCTGCTTCAGAAGTTTTTCAAAGTTCCTTGATTTTACCATGTCACGGGCCAGATGGCCAGGAAGGAACAATTCAACCTATTATTACACCTATTCCTATCAATTTATGAGGTAGAGACTTATTGCAACAATGGAGTGCCCACCAAACATCTGAAGATCTATCATGAGCCACAGCATCTAGTGGACCCACCTGTATGGTGCAAATTTAAGGTTTAAGGATTGCTTTTTTGCTATACTGTTGCACAAGAAGGATAAGCTTCGATTTGCTCTCTGTGCCTTCTGTTAGAAGGGGCCTGCTTCTCATTATCAGTGGAAAGTTTTACCCCATGGTAATTAACCAAAGAGGCAGAAGCTGAGTTACAGCTTGTAGAACAAATGCTTCACCAATGGTATGCCTCCCAGCTACAGCCACAAAAGTTTTTGCTTCTGTTTCGCTAGATTTACTAACGTGGGGTTGAGGGTATGCTTGTGTTTTTGCAGGAGATGAACAAGCCGTGTGGGTGCCCTCAAGATGTGTACGACCATGGAACAGGAGACTGGAGGGACCCAACCATGGAGGGGGTTCCCCCAGTACGAGCCATGGGCCAGTTGAATCTGAATGCGAAGATGGAATGAGGACCGACTGGAGTCACGCTGACATCAACCCCCATAACATGGGGGCAGATCAAGAAAACCACACAGGAAGCTGAGAAACTGCTGCAGCGCCAGGGTTTTACCTTTTGCAGGAACTCAGGGGCACAACAGATGCTTAATGGACCAATGCTTTCTGACTGAGCTCCTCTCTACCCTGAATACAAGAGACCCTAATAGGCAGGAATATCATCGCCCCTGTTCAGCATGAAGAAGTTGCAGAAGATGGACCTTCATCCTTCTGCAGCCCTTAGGATTAAAGGTCCTTTTGTAAAAGGGAAGGGGGAAATATGTAAGAAGCATTCAAACCAGAGCGACTACATTTTGAATAAGGGCTAAGACAAATGAAGCTGGATCACCAACTGGCAATTAAGGGCTGAACAGCCTGCAATTGCCTTGCTCAATTAATTTAAAAACAGAAAGACCTTTTGGATTCAAAGTTGTGTTCGGCCACCTTTTATGCTAGCAATAGGAAATGTTACTCTTAAATGCCATCTGGAGGGCAAAGATGAAAATCTCACCCTTGATATTGTAAAACTAAAAGAGAAGGTTTTTGAAGCCTCTCAGGCTCACTTAGCCCTGCTCCCTGGAACTGATATTTTGAACAAGACAGCCAATGGGTTGTCCACAATCAATCCTCTTAAATGGATTAAGGCCATTGGAAGCTCTATACTTGGCAGATTTTGTTCTAATAATTATGTGTTTGTGCTGTCTCCTTTTAGTCTGCAGATGCGGAAGCCACCTCGGGAGAGACAGCTGCCGTCGAGAACAAGCTATGATAGCTGTGGCGGTTTTACAAAAAAGAAAAGGGGGCATGTTGGGGAAAAGCTGAGTGTTGGGAAAAAAGCTGAGGCAGGACTTGCATGTCTGATATAATGTAAAAGAGTCTTGGAACATGTCTGGGGTCCAGGGTCCAAAACCCCTCATGGCCTTTGGAACACCAAGCTCTGTGCCAAAGGGTGGAAGGCTGCCCTGCTGCACCACAATCTAAGCCCAGGGCACAAAACCCCTCATGGCTTGGATGGAATCCAGGGCTCAGGGCATAAAACCCCTTGCGGCCTCTGGAATGTGTCTAGACTTGCTGGCTCCTTCCTTCTAGCACTCCCAGGCTCATAGAACGATTGTATCTTTTTTTTTTTTTTTTTTTTTTTTTTTTTGAGACAGAGTTTCGCTCTTGTTGCCCAGGCTGGAGTGCAATGGCGCGATCTTGGCTCACTGCAACCTCCATCCCCTGGGTTCATGTGATTCTCCTGCCTCAGCCTCCCAAGTAGCTGGGATTACAGTCATGTACCACCACGTCCGGCTCATTTTGTATTTTTTTTAGCACAGATGGGGTTTCTCCATGTTGGTCAGGCTAGTCCCGAACTCCCAACCTCAGGTGATCTGCCTGCCTCAGCCTCCCAAAGTGCTGGGATTATAGGCGTGAGCCACCACGCCCGACCGATTGTATCTTAAACTAGAAGAACATGTTTCCCATTATCTCAAGTAGCAGAACATGTTCCACATGCTTCAAAGAAAATGCTAAACTGTCACAGCTATAGATCATGTGCTGATACACTGCTTTCTTTCAACCCCCACATCCTCACCACCTGCTTCTTTGTTTGATCACCAATAAATAGTGCAGGCTTCCAGAACTTGGGACCTTCACAGCCTCCATACTAGCACTGGCCCCCTAGTCCCACTTTATGCACTCTTAACTTGTTTTGTCTCATTCCTTTGACTCCGCTGGACTTTGTGGCCCCCACAGCCTGGTGTTGGGTCTGATCACCCCAACATACAGCAGGGGATAAGATTAGTGATTTAGCAAAATAGCAGTTTCCAACCTTTTTGGCACCAGGGACTGGTTTCGTGGAAGACAGTTTTTCCATGGCCAGTGGGAGAGGGTTGTATGGGCATGGTTTGGGGATGAAACTGTTCCACCTCAGCTCATCAGGCATTGGTTAGAGTCTCATAAGGAACATGCAACCTAGAACCCTTGCATGTTCAGTTCACAATAGTATTCATGCTCTTATGAGAATCTAATGCCACCACTGATCTGACAGGAGGTGGAGCTCAGGTGGTAATGCTCACTTGCCCACTCTCACCTCCTGTTGTGCCACCCAGTTTCTAACAGGCCTCGAACTGCTACTGTTCCATAGCCTGGGGGTTGGGGACCCCTGCATCAGAAGATATATTGGTTGAAAATAATCAGGTTGAAGGATGAAAAGGAGAAAAAAAGACTGTAAAATAAAAAGTATGAGATGTATAAGTAATATCAGATGCAGATCATGGTGAAAATATCTAACATTGGAGTCCCAGGAGGAGAGGAAGAGAAGATGAATATAAGTAATATCTGAAGAGAAATACTGTCCTAGAACTTTTAAAACTTAAAAAAAATCAAGCTACAGATTTAACAAGTTCTAGAAACCCATGGCAAGTTAAATACAAAGAAAAACACACCTACAAACATCATCATAAAACTGCCGAAAACCAAAGAAAATAAAAACAAAAAATTTAAGCAGCCAGAGACAACCAAATTATCTTCAAAAGAACAAGACTGGCAGCTGACCAACAGAAACAATGGAAGTCAGAGGACAACGGAATGATGTCTTTAAAGTGTTAATAACTGCCAAGCTAGAATTCTAAACCCAGGAAAAATACCCAAAAAATCTAATCACAGAAAAATTAACTGATACTCACAAACACTTCTCAATACTGAAACAATGAAAAGACGAGTCACAGACTGGGAAAAGATACACATCTAACAACTCATTTGAATAAAAGTAAAACACTGTCAATTAGAAAAATACAACTAGATTTATTTTAAATGGAGAAAATAAATAAATTTGAACAAGCACTTTATAAAAGGAGATATCCAAATAGCCAATCGTGAAAAGGTGCTCAACATTATTGAGAGAGAGACAGACATTAAAGCCTGAATGTGGCTGGGCATGGTGGCTCACGCCTGTAGCCTGTAATCCCAGCACTTTTGGAAGGCTGAGACAGGTGAATCACCTGAGGTTAGGAGTTCAAGACCAGCCTGGCCAATATGGTGAAACCCTGTCTCTAAAAATACAAAAATTAGCCAGGCATGGTGGCACACACCTGTAGTTCCAGCCACTCAGGAGGCTGAAGCAGGGAGAACTGCTTGAACCCAGGAGGCAGAAGTTGCAGTGAGCTGAGATCACACCACTGCATTCAGGCTTGGGGAGAAAGCCTGAATACTTTCTCCCCAAGATCACAAGCAAGGCAAGCATGTCTGCTCTCACCACTCCTCTTCAACACTGCACTTCTTTATACCAGACATTCTAGACAATGCAAAGGGAGAAAGGGAAGGACAGAGAAGGAAGAAAAGAGCAAGGAAAGGAAGTGTTATGGACTGAATGTCTTCACCCTCAAATTCCTCTACTGAAGCTCTAAACCCCAGCCTGGCTCTATTTGGAGTAGGGAAGTAATTAAGGTTAAATGAGGTCATAAGGTTGGGGCCCAGATCTGATAGGATTAGTGTCTTTGCAAGAAGAGACATCAGAGGCTGGGCGAGGTTGCTCACACCTGTAATCCCAGCACTTTGGTAGGCTGAGGCGGGCAGATCACAAGGTCAGGAGATTGAGACCAGTGTGGCCAACATGGTGAAACCCTGTCTCTACTAAAAATACAAAAATTAGCTGGGTGTGGTGGCGCATGCTTGTAGTCCCAGCTACTTGAGAGGCTGAGGCAGGAGAATGGTTTGAACCCGGGAGGTGGAGGTTGCAGTGAGCCGAGATTGCACCACTGCACTCCAGCTTGGTGACAAAGCAAGACTCTGTCTCAAAAGAAAAAAAAGAGAGAGATATTAGAGACTCTCTCCATTCACACACAACAAAGAGATCATATGAGTACGCAGCAAGATGGTGGCCACCTACAAGCCAAGAGAAAAGGCCTCAGAATTAAACCGAACTTGTCAGACTCTTAATTTTGGACGTTCCAGCCTCCAGAATAGTGAGGAAATAATTTTCTGTTGTTTGAGCCTCTGAGCTTGTGGCACCCCAGGCAGAAGGAAAGGAAGGAAGGAAGAGTATCCAGATTGGAAAAGAAAATGACCTTTCTTCACAGATGACGTGATCCAGTTCAAAAGGTTGTAAGATACAAGATCAATGGACAAAAAATTAATTCTAGGGCCGGGCGCGGTGGCTCACACCTGTAATCCCAGCACTTTGGGAGGCCGAGGCGGGTGGATCAACGAGGTCAGGAGATCGAGACCATCCTGGCTAACATGGTGAAACCCTGTCTCTAGTAAAAATACAAAACAAAATTAGCTGGGCGTGGTGGCGGGCGCCTGTAGTCCCAGCTACTCAGGAAGCTGAGGCAGGAGAATGGCGTGAACCCAGGAGGCGGAGCTTGCAGTGAGCGGAGATTGTGCCACTGCACTCCAGCCTGGGCGACTGAGCAAGACTCTGTCTCAAAAAAAAAAAAAAAAATTAATTCTATTTCTATATTATGGAAACAATACAAAAAGTAATTCAATTCATAACACCATTAATTTCACAAAAGAAGTGCAAGACTTGCACACTAAGAACTACAGAAATCTCTGAGGAAAACTGAAGACCTAAATAACAGCAGAGACATTCCATGTTCATAAATTGGCAACCCCAAAATTGTTAAGTTTGGCAGTTTTTCCCAAATCAATCTATAGATTCAATAAAATCCCCGCCAGGTGCGGTGGCTCAAGCCTGTAATCCCAGCACTTTGGGAGGCCAAGGCAGGCGGATCACAAGGTCAAGAGATTGACCCCATCCTGGCTAACATGGTGAAACCCCGTCTCTACTAAAAAATACAAAAAATTAGCCGGGAGTGGTGGCGGGTATGTGTAGTCCCAGCTACTTGGGAGGCTGAGGCAGGAGAATGGCGTGAACCTGGGAGGCCAAGCTTGCAGTGAGCCGAGATCGTGCCACTGCACTCCAGCCTGGGTGACAGAGCAAGACTCCGTCCCAAAAAAAATAAATAAACAAAATCCCCATGAAATTCCTATAGAATTTGTTGCAGAAATTGGCAAGCTGATCTTAAAATATATGTGGAAATGCAAAGGACCCAAAGTAGTCAAAGCAATTTTGAAAAAGAACAAAGTTAAAGGACTTACACAATCCAACTAACTAACTATAATTAAAGTCATCAAGACAATGTGTTGCTGGTATATGGAGAGGCATATAAGTTAATGGAACATAGTTTAGAACTCAGATATACACCCTTACATTTATGGTCAATTCTTGACAAAAAGATGCTAAGTCAATTTAATGGGGGAATAGCTAGTCTTTGCAAGAAATGATGTGAGGACAACTGGATATCCATATGCAAAAAGATTAATTTAGACCCTTACATTGGACCTCAAAAAAAATGGTTCACAGATCTAAATGTGAGAGCTAAGAGTAAGTGTAAGAGAAAGGATATGAAATGATCTTCGTAACTTTAAGCAGAGTCCTTAACTATAACACCAAAAGCATGATTGCTAACAGAAAAAACATAAATTGGAATTTATTAAAATTAAGAACTTTTATACTTCAAAATTTTCTTATACCATTAAGAAAAAAAAGAAAAGCCACAAATATGGAGAAAATATTTGCAAATCATATTTCTCATTAAGTACTTGTATCCAGAATATATAACAACTCAACAATAAAAAGACAACTTGATTTTAAAATGGATAAATGATACAGATGGCCAGGCACAGTGACTCATAACTGTAATCCCAGCACTTCGGGAAGCCAACGTGGGAGGACTGCCTGAGCCCAAGGGGTTCAAGACCAGCCTGGGTAACACAGTGAGACCCTGTCTCAATTTGAAAAAAGAGATTAATTCAAAAAGATACAAATATATATTACATCAAAGAAGCGTTATAAATTCCTAATAAGCACATTAAAAGATATCTAGCATCGTCAGTCATTATAAAATGCAAATTAAAATCATGAGATACACACTAGAATGGCTATAATCAAAAGGACGGATAAGTGTTTGTATGAATGCAGAGAAACTAGAACCCTCATGCATTGCTGGTAGGGATGTTAAGATTGTGCAACTACACTGTAAAAACCGCTTTTCTTACAATGTAATTTCTTAAAATCATAAATATAAACCTACCTATATGACCCAGCAATTCCACTCCTAGGTTCTACCCAAGAGAAATGAAAACATATTTTCACGTAATGATTTGTATGCAAATGTTTATAGGAGCAATATTTATAATAGCCCCAAGCAAGAAATAATAGTAATTCCAAAAAGTGGTGAATGGATAAATGTGGTACATCAATTCAATGGAATAATATTTAGCAATAAAAAAAGAACACACCGCTGATATATTCAGGTACGTGGATGAACCACAGGAACTTTATGCTCAGTGAAAGAAGCCAGACACAAAAGTTTACATAATTATATGGTTCCAATTACCTGAAATATTCAGACAAGTCAAATCTATCAAGACAGAAAGTAGATCAGTGGTTATGTGGGACTAAGAATGGAGCAGAGATTGACTGTAAACTAGCATGAGAATACTTTTTGTGGTGATGGAAATGTTCTAAAACTGGATTGTGATGATGGTGTTATAACTATAAATTTACTAAAAACTACTGATTTATATATACTTACAATAGGTGAATTTTATGGTATGTAAATTATATCTCAAGGTGTAAAAATGTGAAAAAATTAAATTATGGTTGGGTTTCAATTATTATAGTATGAATAGGAAATTTAAAGCCATTTTAGAGTAGCCATATCTAAGATAATAGGAACATGATTTTTTAAAAAGCTGGAACAATATTTACAAGAGATTTTAGCAAATTTGTAAGAGATAGGGGGCTAGTAAATAAATTGTATACTACTATATTATAAAATTCTCCATATTATTGCATTTTTTTTGAGATGGAGTCTCGCTCTGTCGCCCAGGCTGGAGTGCAGTGGCGTGAATTTGGCTCACTGCAACCTCTGCCTCCTGGGTTCACGCCATTCTCCTGTCTCAGCCTCCCAAGTAGCTGGGACTACAGGTGCCCGCCACCACGCCCAGCTAATTTTTTTGTATTTTTAGTAGAGATGGGGTTTCATTGTGTTAGCCAGGATGGTCTCGATCTCCTGATTTCATGATCCGCCTGCCTCAGCCTCCCAAAGTGCTGGGATTACAGGTGTGAGTACTGTGCCTGGCCCTGCAAAATCTTTAAAAACCCTTCCTCATGGCCAGGCGTGGTCACCTGTAATCCTAGCTCTTTGGGAGGCTGAGGTGGATCACTTGAGGCCAGGAGTTCGAGACCAGCCTGGGCAACATGGCGAAACCCCATCTCTACTAAAAATACAAAAATTAGGCAGGCATGGTGGTGTGTGCCTGTAATCCCAGCTACTCAGGAGGCTGAGGCAGGAGAATCACTTGAGCCTGGGAGGCAGATACCGCAGTGAGCCGAGATCACGCCACTACACTCGAGCCTGGGCATCAGAGCAAGACTGTCTCAAAAATAAAAATAAATTTAAAACACTTCCTTGTTATGTGGCATTAACAAAATTATATTAACCCATGAAATGAATATATATTCTTGTACATATCTAAGTGCATTAAGAGGTAGGATAAGGAAGACTGCAAATACTCTCAACATTGTTTGACTTTTTTTGTTTGTTTGTTTTTTTGAGACAGGGTCTCATTCTGTTGCTCTGAGTGCTGGAATGCAGTGGCGCGATCTTGGCTCACTGCAACCTTACCTCCCAGATTCAAGTGATTCTCCTGCTTCAGCCTCCCAAGTAGATGAGATTACAAGTGTGCACCACGACACCCAGCTAATTTTAGTATTTTTAGTAGAGACGGGTTTTGCCATGTTGGCCAGGCTGGTTTCGAACTCCTGGCCTCAAGGGATCTGACCGCCTCAACCTCCCAAAATGCTGGGATTACAGGCATTAGGCACTGTGCCGCATTGAGACAGGGTCTCACTCTGCCATCCAGGCTGGAATGTAATGGCGTGATCTCAGCTCACTGCAACCTGTGCTTCCCAGGCTCAAGCTTCAGTCTCCTGAGTAGCTGGGACTACAAGTACATGCCAGCATGCCCAGCTAATTTTCTGTAGAGACGGTTTCGCCATGTTGCCCAGGCTGGTCTCGAACTCCTGAGCTTAAGCAACCTGCCCACCTCGGCCTCCCAAAGTGGTATGAGATATATATATGTGTGTATATATATATACACATACATGTATATATATGTATGTATGTATATGTATATATGTATATATATGTATGTATGTGTATATATATATATATATTACACAAGAGAAATAAAAATGAATGAAATAGCCAACTAGAGAAGATAGAAAAAAGGAGAAAGGTGTAAGTTTTAAAGTATCATAAAAATAAAAGCTGAAGTTAATGAATTAGAAAAACAGAAAAAGCAGAATTGATAAATCCAAGAACTGATTCTTTTGAAAAAGCTAAAAAGTTTTTTCCACTAATGGAAAAAACAGCCAGGCACAGTGACTCACACCTGTAATCCCAACACTTTGGGAGGCCGAGGCAGGAGAATCCCTTGAGCCTAGGAGCTGGAGACCAGCCTAGGCAACACAGCAAGACCCAATCTCTAAAAAAAAAGTAAAAAAAATTAACCAGGTGTGGTGGCGCATGCCTGCCTACTCAGGAGGCCGAGGTGGGAGGACTGCTTGAGCCCAGGAGTTGGAGGCTGCAGTGACCCATGATCAAGTCATAGTACTCTAGCCTGGGCAACAGAGTGAGACCCCGATTCAAAAAACATAAAAGAAGTCTGTTCTTTGGTTTTCATAAAGACTGCACACATACAAAGCTTACAAGCTTCTAGGAGTCTTTGTTTTAAACTGGAGAATTGCAGGGATGGTAGGGCCTTCACACAGACCACAGGCACACAACTCCAAGTCATACCACAGATGTCTGTGTTTTCATGTCTTTTTGGTTGGCATGGGGTGAGCGAGGTTCTCCTTGCCCATTCAGGCCACACAGCACCAGCCTTCTACCCCCTCACCAGCTTCTCAGTCTCCCATTCTCTCCCTCTGTCATGCAGATTAGTTTATGTCCCATGTTGCTTGGACATCTTATGACACTTATGCCCTGAGCAGCGTAAGCAACATGTTACACACACACACACACACATGCCACAGTTCTTTCTCTACAATGAACTCTGGGAGCCATGGTAAAGGTAATATAGCTAATAGCATTCCTTCTCACCTTTCAGGAAGGACAAGGTTATCTAGGACTGGGAGTGAAGGTTTCTGACATGGCTCAGCCCCACATCCTGCACTTCTTGCCCATCCAGCAGGGTAGCCCAGGCCAGGAGCGCAGGCACGACCAGAGGCAAATGTCCCACTCAGGAATATGCCCTATGCCTCTCAGCAGGCGCCTGGACCGCCCAGGTGAGGCCTGGGAACCCCAAGTTGGGGAGGAAGGCGGCCCACCTGGATGAAACTGTGCTTTTTGTCTTTGTTCTTCATAAGCATGGCACTCCGCCACTGCAGGTACTTCTCCTGGTGGGCGTGGATCTCTAAGGTGAGGGTGGAGTTCCGACTGTGGTAGTCCTCAAGATTGGGGGCAGGCTGAGGTGGTAGGGCAAACAGTTTCTCATCTGTGAGTTCTTCTTGCGAAAGGGGCATCCCAAACTCTTGGCTCAAGTCTTTTATCATAGCAGAGGAGGGCAGCAGGTCCCTCACCGTCACGTCCCAGAGGGTGGTGCTGTTATAGCAGATGTCGTGGATCCTGGAACAAAGAACCACTGCCCCACTGAACCTCTCCTACCTTGCAAGACAGGTGTAATCACTCCCATCCTACAGCAGGAAATGAACACTCAGAGGCTGCTTAGCTGGTCCCAAGTCCTGGAGCTTGTGACTAAAGAGCTCCAATTCCAGTCTGCTGAGCCTGGGCTCCTGGCAAAAGCCTCCTTCTCCATCTTCTCCCCAGCCCCCAGAAGCCAAAGGCTGCCCACGGTTTGCTCTGAGTGCTGCTCTGTTCCTGTGTCCTTAGCCATGCTTCCCCTCCTCCCATACCCCATCGGGACACAGCCCCACCAGCTGCCCATCAGGGATGTAGAGCACAGAGCCTTCCGCACCAGGAGGACATCATACACCGAGCCTCAGGGGGCTGGCTGTTAATAGAGGAGAAGGAGGAGGCTGGAGAGAGAGTCCTCAGCAAAGCTCAAGGACCTCCCCAGCCCCAAAGCCTCCTCCTGGGTGCCCTCTGCCATGGCCTGGTGTGCAGTGGGCATTGGGTCCAGAAACCATGCTCAGTCATGGCTGTTGGCGGCTCACTGTCTCAGCTGCCTCCGAAGTCCACTGTGCGGTAGGTGCCTGCCTTTGCACTCACTGTCCCAGTGACCCTGGCCCAGCCTTAGCCTTTCTGAATCTGGTTTCCTCACCCTCAGACAGAAATAAAGCCATATGGATGCAGCTACCTTGGATGCAGTAAGCACTTCCTAAAAAGTGTTCTTCTGTTTCCTTCATAGAACCCTCAGCTACCTCCTGTCACCTACCAGGCAGGACCGGGTCTGGCCTCCTTCCAAATGCTGTGGCACCACCCCACATGCCAAAGGTGAGGGCCACAGAATCAAAGAAAAGCCTCTTAGCCCCGACCAAGTTCTTTCTCCTTCCTATCTCTCCAGCCTCCTCCTCCTCCTTCATTAATACATCCAGCAAGCACTAGCTAGGGCCAGACCTGTTGCTGGCTCTAAAAATATAAAGACAGGGTTTGTACCTCCTGCCCCACACCCAGCAGCAAGTGAACTGTCTGCCTGCTGAACATCTCTGGCCCTTCCTCAACAGCAGCCTCTCCTGCCCTGGGGAAAGAAGCAGCCCCCTCCTCCGTGCCCCCGCTGGGTCCCAGGGTATCCCACTGCCTGTGTTCTTTATGTCATCTCTGCTTCTGAACTGTAGCCTCCTGAGAGTGGGGACTGGTGTGCCCACAGGCCCCCTAGAGCCAGTGTGAGCCAGCAGCTGCTCAATGAGGGAATGGTGAGACCCTGGTTGCCCAGGCTGGAGTGCAATGACGCAATCTCGGCTCACTGCAACCTCCACCTCCCAGGTTCAAGTGATTCTCCTGCCTCAGCCTCCCGAGTAGCTGGGATTACAGGCATGCGCCACCATGCCTGGCTAATTTTGTATTTTTAGTAGAGATGGGGTTTCTCCATGTTGGTCAGGCTGGTCTCGAACTGCCGACCTCAGGTGATCCACCCGCCTTGGCCTCTCAAAGTGTTGGGATTACAGGCATGAGCCACCGCATCCGGCCTGTTTTTGCTTTTGTTTGTTTGTTTGTTTCTGAGATGGAAGTCTCACTGTCGCCCAGGCTGGAGTACAGTGGCTCGGTCTCAGCTCACTGCAATCTCTGCCTTCCAGGTTCAAGAGATTCTCCTGCCTCAGTCTCCCAAGTAGATGGGATTACAGGCGTGCACCACTACACCTGGCTAATTTTTGTATTTTTAGTAGAGATGGGGTCTCACTATGTTGCCTAGGCTGGTCTCAAACTCCGGGGCTCAAGCCATCCTCCCACCTCAGCCTCCCAAAGTGCTGGGATTACAGGTGTGAGCCACTGTGCCCAGCCCACACCTGGCTAATTTTTAACAAATTTTTGTGGAGATGAGGTCTCGCTCTGTTGCCCAGGTTAGAAAATGGGTTTTAACCAGCCACTCCCTCCTCAGGCAATTCTAGGACATGCCCCAAGAACAGTAGACGCCACAGAGTCACAGCATCTGGGCGGATGGTCCTCCTCCCCCCACCATCTGTTGGGGCCACTATCTAGTTGTTGGATGCCCCAGCTTGCCTGTTTGGGTGCAGAGTGTTAAGAAGTGCCCCTCCCGCCGGGGCGCAGGACCACATGCGAGCTGCCACTGCCCACCTGGCTAGAGCCTGGAAGACCCGCCTCCGCTCAGTGTCTCGCAGGAAGAACACCGCCTGCTGCAGCAGCAGCTCCGTGGGCTGGAAGAGGTGCACGTGGTACAGGATGGCCTCCAGGTCCCCATAGAGCCGGCTGCGGAACAGCAGCTGTGAGTTGTACAGCACCTTGTATTTCCTGTGTTCTGACCTGGGAATCCTGCAAGAGACAGAAGGCCAAGAGCTAACTTGCATGGCAGCTTCCTGGGACACCGTGGTGAGGGTGCGCTGTCAGGTACAGCTTTTATGTTATTTAAAAACAAACCCAGGGGCCGGGTATGGTGACTCACGCCTATAATCCCAGCACTTTGGGAGGCTGAGGTGGGCAGATCACATGAGGTCGGGAGTTCGAGACCAGCCTGACGAACATGGAGAAACCCCATCTCTAGTAAAAAATACAAAATTAGCCGGGCGTGGTGGCACATGTCTGTAATCCCAGCTACTGGGGAGGCTGAGGCAGTAGAATCACTTGAACCTAGGAGGCGGAGGTTGTGGTGAGCCAAGATCGCGACATTGCACTCCAGCCTGGGTAACAAGAGCGAAACTCCGTCTCAAAACAAAAACAAAACAAAAAAACAAGCCCAGGCAGGTGGAGGCTGCAGCGAGCCCTGATGGCACCACTGTACTCTAGCCCGGACAACAGAGTGAGACCCTGTCTCAAAACAACAAAAGACAAGGTTGGTAATGAAGACTATACTAAGATAAAAATAATAGCAATTTAGAAGTATAAAAAATTAACTAAAAGGATAGAAAAAAAACAAAAGGAATATGATGATGATGAATGCCTCCTGGTAGACACAACATCTTTCAACACCTGGGACCTTGACAGAGAGCTGGCAGTGAAAGGCTGAAACTGACCTGATCTGGCTCATGGCCTGTGCCTGTCTCACCCCCCTTCCTGCCCCCACTCAGCCCCTCACCACCCCTCCAAGCCCTGCCCTGGCACTCGCGGTCTGCACTGTGGCAATACCAGCCTGGCAGGGTTTCTATGCACAGCCTGCTGTCATTGCCCTGCACTGGCCTATGCCATTCCTCTGCCTTTTTGAACCTGGTGAAGTCTACAATGCCTTCATCTCCCCTTCAGGAATCTGTGTGCTTGGTCAGGGGTAGGTCCTCTTTTGTGAAGTATTGGTTTGGGTATTTTGCCCATACTTTCTTTCCACTGGGAGTTTTTCTTATTGATTCACAGGACTTTAAAAAATATATTTAGGATACTAATTATTGGTCAGTTCCAGACACTGCAAATAATTTTGTTTGTAGCTTGTCTTTTCATGACTTTTATGGTGTTGTGAAAGTTGAGCACATGCATTGGGTCATTCTCATCACACCCAACTAAAACAGAGTCGACAGGCGGGGAGAAAGCACCCAGGGCACGTAGCACTGCTCCAGGAATGTCATTCTCTGCAGCCTGGCTGCTGAGGCTGCCTGCTCCAACCTGAAGCCAGTCTTATCTTATAGCTACTGACACCACCTGCTGCGACTCCAAGACTACTTTTACTCACTGGCACTCACCAGTCAGAGGTTGCCAGTGCCCCAAATTCTCAAAACAATACCTAACATTTTTATAATGCCCCTCCTTGTTATAAAACCTCCAACCTTCTGTTTTTCAGACATACTGAAGACTGCCCAGTCTGTGTGTGTACCTCAAATTGTAATTCTTGCTTCCCAAATAAAATTTTTAAATTTAGAGATTCATCTCTGTATTTTGACTTTGACAGTGTCTTTTGATGAGCAGAAGTTACTTTTAACGTTGCCAAATGTACGATTCTTTTCTTCTTTGTCCTTGTCTGGTTCAAGGTTCAAGAACTCTTTCTCCATTCTGGGGTCATGAATATGTTCTTCTATATTTTCATCTATAAGCTTTTTAATTTTGCTTTCCAAAAACAGATTTTTCACTTTGGGAGGTCGAGGTGGGCAGGTTGCTTGAGTCCAGGAGTAGGAGACCAGCCTTGGCAACCTGGTGAAACCCCATCTCTACAAAAAATACAAAAATAATCTGGGCATGGTGGTGCACACCTGTAGTCCTAGCTGCCTGGGAGGCTGAGATGGGAGGATGGCTTGACCCCTGGAGGTAGAGGTTGCAGTGAGCCCTTGTACCGCTGCAGTGAGCCTTTGTACCACTCAGCCTGGGTGACAGAGATAGACCCTGTCTCAAAAAAAAAAAAAAAAAAAACCACGCGTAGTGGTTTACGCCTGTAATCCCAGTACTATGGGAGGCCGAGGTGGGCAGATCACGAGGTCAGGAGATCGAGACCAAGGTGAAACCCCGTCTCTACTAAAAATACAAAAAATTAGCTGGGCGCAGTGGCGGGTGCCTGTAGTTCCAGCTACTTGGGAGGCTGAGGCAGGAGAATGGCGTGAACTCAGGAGGCGGAGCTTGCGGTGGGTGAGCTGAGATCGCACCACAGCACTCCAGCTTGGGCGACAGAGCGAGACTCCATATCCAAAAAAAAAAAAGATTTTTCTGGTGAAATCTGAGTAAGATCAGATCATTGTAGTCTACTTAGTTGTACTGTGTCAATCAACAGTAGTTATATAAGATGTCACCATTGGGGGAGGTTGAGTAATGAGTACATGCAACCTCTCCACTATTTTTGCAATTTCAAAGTTAAAAGTTTAGGCCAGGTGCACTGGCTCACACCTGTAATCCCAGCACTTTGGGAGGCTGAGAGGCAGGTGGATCACCTGAGGTCAGGAGTTCGAGACCAGCCTTCCCAACATGGCAAAACCCTGTCTCTACTACAAATACAAAAAATTAGCTGAGCATGGTGGTAGGTGCCTGTAATCTCAGCTACTATGGAGGTTGAGGCAGGAGAGTTGCTTGAACCCAGGAGGCAGAGGTTGCAGTGAGCCGAGATCGCACCATTGCACTCCAGCCTGGGCAACAGCGTGAGACTCTGTTTCAAACAAAAGAAAAAAAAATTAGCTGGGCATGGTGGCACATGCTTGTCGGTCCCAGCTACTTGAGAGGCTGAGGTGGGAGGATTGCTTGAGGTGGGGGGGTCAAGGCTGCAGTGAATTGTGATCGCACCACTGCACTCCAGCCTGGGTAACAGCAATAAACCCTGTCTCAATAAAAAGAAAGAAAAAGAAAGAAAAAGCTCAAAAAAACGACAAAGTTAAAAGTTTAAAAACGGGCTTGGTCTACCTAGACTAGAGTTGATTTTCATGAATTGTGTGAGCCAGCAAATTAGGAACAGAATGGAACTTCCTCAGACCCATAAAGGACATCTACAAAAACCCTACACCTAACATCATAGATAGTGGGGAAACACTGATGCCTTCTGCCGCAGAGACCAGAAACAAGGCAAGTGTGTGTGCCTTCACCATTCTTTTTTTTTTTTTTTTTTAAGAGATGGAGTCTCGCTCTGTCTCCCAGGCTGGAGTACAGTGGCGCGATCTCGGCTCACTGCAAGCTCCACCTCCCGGGTTCATGCCATTCTCCTGCCTCAGCCTCCTGAGTAGCTGGGACTACAGGCGCCCACCACCACGCCCGGCTAATTTTTGTATTTTTAGTAGAGACAGGGTTTCACTGTGTTAGCCAGGATGGTCTCCATCTCCTGACCTGGTGATCCGCCCGCCTCAGCCTCCCAAAGTGCTGGGATTACAGGAGTGAGCCACCTTCACCATTCTTATATAAAACAGGACTGCACATCCAGGCCAGTACAACAAGGAGATGAAGGTATACAGACTGAAAGAAAGAAATGTAATTATCCCTATTTGCAAATGACATGATGGTCAGTGTAGAAAATCCCAAGCAATCTCCCAAAAAACAAAACAAAAACTCCTAGAACCAGTGAGTTTCAGCAAGGCTTTAGGATATAAGATCAACATTCAAAAATCACGTCTATTTTCAGATATAGCAGTGGTTGCCAGGGGTTAAGGATGTCTGTCCTTCTTTCCTATGAAAACAATTATCCCAACACCATTTATTGAAAAGTTTATCCTTTCCCTACTGAACTTTTTTTGTCTGCTAGAGTTATTTATTTATTTTTCTGAGACAGAGTCTGGCTCTGTCAGCCAGGCTGGAGTGCAGTGGCGCGATCTCGGCTCACTACAACCTCTGTCTCCTGGGCTCAAGCAATTCTCCTGCCTCAGCCTCCCGAGTAGCTGGGATTACAGGTGTGCGCCACCACGCCTGGCTAACTTTTGTATTTTTAGTAGAGACGGGTTTTCACCATGTTGGCCAGGCTGGTCTCAAACTCCTGACCTTGGGTAATTGCCCACCTCAGCCTCCCAAAGTGCTGAGATTACAGGCGTGAGCCACTGTGCCCAGCCTAGAGTTATTTTTTAATTGAGATATAATTTACATGACAGACAACTTACCCATTTGTAAAGTATAATTCAATAGTTTTTCATCTATTTAGTGCAACCACCACCACCATCATCAATTTTAGAACATCTCATCACCTCAAAAAGAAACCCCACACCCCTCAGCTATCGCTCCGTATACTCCCAACCCCCTGAATACCCCCACCCCTGATCCACCGCCCTAAGTATCTACCAATCCAGCGGTCCCCAACCTATTTGGTACCACGGACTGGTTTCGTGGAAGACAATTTTTCCACGGACGGGGTTGGGAGGATGATTTCAGGATGAAACTGTTGCACCTCAGATCACCAGGCATTAGATTCTCATAAGGAATGCGCAACCTAGGTCCCTCGCATGCACAGTTCACAAAAGTGTTCCCGCTCCTATGAGAATCTAATGCCACTGCTGATCTGACAGGTGGCGAAGCTCAGGCAGAGCTTGCTGACCTCCTGCTGTGCAGCCCAGTTCCTAACAGGCCAGAGACCGGTACAGGTCCATGGCCTAGGGGTTGGAGACGCCTGTACTAATCTACTTTCTGATAGATTGGCCTCTTCTGGACATTCCGCATAAATTGAATCACGTCATATGTGACATCTTGTGGCCGGCCGCCTCTCCTCAGCATGTTTTCAAGGTTCATCCATAGTGCAGAATGTCATGGTGTTTCATTCCTTTTTATGTCCAAATAGGATTCCAGTGTATGCATATCCATTATTTGTTTACCCTTTTACTACTTGATGGACATTTGGGCTGTTTCCATCTTTTGGCTATTATGAATAATGCTGTTATAAACATGAGTGTACAAAGTTTAGTACACTAATTGGCGATAATCCACACATTAGTGTGGATACATGTTTTCATTTTCTTGGGCACAGATCTAGGAGTGATATTCCTGGGTCATATGGGAACTCTGTGTTTAATCACTTGAGGAACTGCCAGAATGTTTTCCAAAGTGGCTGCACCTACATTCCTCCCAGCAGAGGACACTTCTGATTTCTCCACATCCTTGCCAACACTTGTCATTATTGGACTTTTGGTTTCTACCCATCCTAATGAGTATGAAATAGCATCCCATTGTGTAAGATTCATTCTTTTGAAGTAGAAAATTCAGTGTTTTTTAGTGTATTTATTCCCCACCAATTTTGCAATATCACATATGTCATATGTCAAATGAACACTTATGTGTAGGTCTGTTTCTGGATTCTCTATTATATTCCATAGGTCTGCTTGTCTATCTCTGAACCAATACCACACTATCTTAATGACTATAGTTTTATCATGAGTCTTGATATCTAGTACAGCAAGTTCTTCTATCTTGTTCTTATTCAAGGGTATCTTCTTTAAAAAAGACCTTTACATGTTGCTGTAAAGGGTTTAAAATTCCAACAGCTTTTAAAGTATGGACTTTGATGAAAAAAAAAAGTATGAACCTTTATTAACATGCGGAAGTTTAAAATTTTAAAATCAATGTCCATACTTTAAAAGCTGTTGGGATTTTTAAAACTGGAAGTGCACTGAATCTATAGTTCAAATTTGAAGATAACTGAGCCTTTAGAATATTGAGTCTTCAAATTCATGAACATGGTATCTCTCTCCACTTATTTATGTCTTCCTTAATGTTTCCTGAAGTTCTATAATATTCATGATGGATGTCTTTCACATCTTTTTGTCAAATTTAGTCCTATGAATTTCATACATTTTACTTTAAATGTGTTCCAATTTTTAAAAATTAGTTTTTGTAGGTAGATGGTATTCAAAATTTGATAGATTTTTATACTAATTTTTATATTCGATACCACATTAAATAATCTTATCTGAACATACTTTTGGTATTTTTTAAATTTCTTATAATTTTTTAAATATATTGGCATAATTTGAAACACATATCAATGTCTGCAACAACTATAGTTATGTCTCAATAATTTTCAGGCATTTTTCATTTCCAAATAAGCATTTTAAGGTTATACATTTTCTTCTGACTAATGCTTCAATATCACTCTGCAAATTTTTATTTATTTATTTATTTTGAGACAGAGTCTCACTCTGTTGTCCAGATTGGAGTGCAGTGGCATGATCTTGGCTCACTGCAATCTCTGCCTCCTGGGTTCAGGCGATTCTCCTGCCTCAGCCTCCCAAGTAGCTGGGAATACAAGCATGTGCCACCACGCCCAGCTAATTTTTGTATTTTTAGTAGAGATGGGGTTTCACCATGTTGGCCAGGCTGGTCTCAAACTCCTGACCTCAGGCGATCCGCCCACCTTGGCCTCCCAAAGTGTTGGGATTACAGACATGAGCCACTGTGCCCGGCCCACCCTGCAAATTTAGATAATATATTATTTTCATTATTGTTCAGTTCAAAAATGTCTAATTTCCATTATGATTTCTTTTTGACCCACAAGTTATTTGGAAGTATGGTTATTAATTTCCCTGCATATGAACTTTTTTCTGGTTAATGATTTGTGTTTTATTTCTAGCCTAATTCAACTGGGTTCAATGAGCATGCTTCATGATATTTCTGCCACTGGAAAAAGCTTTTGAGATATAATTCATATACTATCTGCCCAGCATTAGCCAAACCACAAAGTTTGAGGGCACAGTCCCCAAGACCGCCCTTACTTCTGACGCCAACTGCAAGTTCAGAAGGTTTCTGAGACCGCCCTCTGGTTTGATAATGCACTAGAAGGGCTCACAGAACTTACTGAAAATGAGTTCTACACTCACAGTTACAGTTGTATTACAGGGAAAGAATACAGACTAAAATCCGCCAAGGGAACAAACACATGGAGCAGAGTCCACGATGGCTCCAGACACAAAGCTTCTACTGTCTTCTCGTGGAGCCAGATGTGCTACCCTCCTAGCACTGGTGAGTGGCGGCATGCAAGCACACTGCAGCCAGGCAGCTCGCCCCAGCCCTGGCGGCCACAGTTTCCAGGGGGCTCCACTGCACAGGTATGGCAGGCTGGCTGACCGCCTACATGGCTGAACTCAGTCTCCTGATTCTGCATGACCCAAAGCCCCCATCCCGAAGCACCTGGTTGGTCTTTCTGGAAGGTCAGCCTCCATCCTGTGACTGTCAGGTGTGACCAGTCCCCTCCCTGAACAAAGACACTCCTATTAGGTGTGACTCAGATCGCCTCCCAGGAGCCAAGGGCAGAGCCCAGACTGCTCCTGGGCCAGGCCACATTCTTTGCTACACACCACAAAACTCAATCTTTTTTTTTTTTTGAGATGGAATCTTGCTCTGCCACCCAGGCTGGAGTGCAGTGGCATGATCTCGGCTCACTGCAACCTCCGCCCACGGGTTCAAGCAATTCTCCTGCCTCAGCCTCCCAAGTTCCCAAGTAGCTGGGATTACAGGTGCCTGCCACCACGCCTGGCTAATTTTTGTGTATTTAGTAGAGATGGGGTTTCACCGTGTTGGCAAAGCTGGTCTTGAACAAAACTCAACCTTTTTTTTTTTTTTTTTTTTTTGAGACGGAGTCTAGCTCTGTCACCCAGGCTGGAGTGCAGTGGCGCGATCTCACTCACTGCAACCTCCACCTCCTGGGTTCAAGCGATTCTCCTGCCTCAGCCTCCTGAGTAGCTGGGATTACAGGCACACGCCACCACAGCCTGGCTCATTTTTGTATTTTTAGTAGAGATGGGGTTTCACTTGTTGGTCAGGCTGGTCTTGATCTCCTGACCTCGTGATCTGCCTGCCTCATCCTCCCAAAGTGCTGGGATTCCAGGCGTGAGCCACTGTGCCCGGCAAAACTCAACCTTTTAAAGCGCATGAATGAGTGGTTTAGACTACATTCACAATGTTGTGCAGCCATAAACACTATCTAGTTCTAGAACATCCTCCACATCCCTAAAGGCAACTCTGTGCCCACTGGCAGTGGCTCCCCGCTTCTCTCTTGCCCTCCCGAGTGGTTATCCCTGGCAACCACCGGCCTACCTATCTCTATGGATTTGCCGGTTCGGGACATTTCACAAACACAGAATCATACAATATGTGCCATTTTGTGTCTGGCTTCTTTGACTTAGCATAATGTTTCAAGGTTGAGATATGTGTATCAGTATTTCATTTCTTTTTTTTTTTTCTTGAGACGGAGTTTCGCTCTTGTTTCCCAGGCTGGAGTGCAGTGGCACGATCTCGGCTCACCGCAACCTCCCTCTCCAGGGTTCAAGGAATTCTCCTGCCTCAGTCTCCCGAGTAGCTGGGATTACAGGCACGTGCCACCATGCCTGGGTAAGTTTTTCTATTTTTAGTAGAGACAGGGTTTCACCATGTTGGCCAGACTGGTCCCGAACTCCTGACCTCAGGCAATCCTCCCGCCTCAGCCTCCCAAAGTGCTGGGATAACAGGTGTGAGCCACCGTGCCTGGCTTTCATTTCCTTTTATGGCTCAATTATTCTATGGACTTATTATCTTTTGTTTATCAGTTGATAAACATTTGGGTTATTTCCCCCGTTTTTTTTTTTTTTTTTTTTTTAATTTGAGACAGGGTCTGGCTCTGTTGTCCAGGCTGGAATTCAGTGGCGTGATACTGGCTCACTGCAACCTCCGCCTCCTGGGCTCAAGTGATTCTCCCACCTTGGCCACCCAAGTAGCTGTGATTACAGGCATGAGCCACCATGCTTGGCTAATTTTTGTATTTTTTGTAGTAACAAGGTATCACTATGTTGCCCAGGCTGGTCTTGAACTCCTGGGCTCAAGTGATTCCAGGATCACCTTAGCCTCCCAAAGTGCTGGGATTACAGGCGTGAGCTACTGCACCTGGCCTGTTTTCACTTTTTGACTATTATACATAATGCTGCTGTGAACATGTGTGTACAAGCTCTTGTGTGGACATATGTTTTCACTTCTCCTGGGCTTATAATAGATACAAGGCCAGCTTCTCCCGGTGCCTCTGGGCCCATCAGCACAGGAAGGCAGGTCTCCCAGAGGTGCAATCCCCTTCTGGGCAGACAGCCTCAACTCCGGGACTCCCCACTGCATCCAAGTGGGTCCTGGGGCATCTGAACTCTGAGGACAGATGGGGGCCCTCCAGACTAAAGGACGGAGATCCGATCTACCCAAACTAGTATACTTGCAAATTGTGAAAGGAAGGGAGAGGTGTCATGTCACCAAAACTAAAAAATGGAGGAACTGCAAAGGGCTACCCGCTGCAGCCCAGAATTGGACACTTTAATTATTCACTTCTAGTGTTCCCACTGAGTGGCCCCCAGGTACCCTGAAGGCCTTCAGGGAAGGGCAATTTCCTGCAGCCTAAGCAGCCCCTCCATCTTCAAAATGATCTTCCCTGGGGCAAGGTGAAATCTAATACAGAATATTCTGCTCCTGTTTAGCCACAGTAGCCCTTGGCTCAGAACCCTGAAGACAGGCCCCACTCTCCTGGACCCCTCAGTCATCTTAGATACTCCCGAATTCCTCCCTGGAACCAAAGCCAATCGAGTCTTCAAGTCCAATGACTAAACCCTGGTAAGTACCTCACAATGAACCCCGAAAGGAGACTCACAGACAAGGATGCTAAACCTAGGCTTGGCTCTGAAAGACCTCTCCACTCCCTCGGCATCCAGATGCCATCATTTTTATGTAAAATGTAAAACAAACCACCTACCAGCTTTGGTGGTTCTCCCACAGCTGCCTCAAGCCTTGGTCGGCCAGGCCTTCCAGGATGAAAAGGTGTGTCTTCCCGTCCAGCAGGTGGAAGCCAGTGAGCACATCCAGGTGCTGCTGCTCCTGGACCCGCACACGCACCTTGAAGGCTGACAGGATCTGCTGCAGGGTCCTGACAGGGTAGGAGTCCAGGCCGAGGGCCTTAGCGTTGATCATGGTGATGTCCTGCAGCAGGCTGTGGAGCAGGGAGACCTTCTTAAAGTCAAAGACGAAGATGATGCGGCCAAACTGGGAGCCCCCAAGGTCAGGATCAGCAGCTCTGGCCCCGGCCCTCAGTGGCACCGCGATGTCCACTCGCAACTTGAGCTGGGAGTCAGCCTCTAGGTAGTTGCCCCTGGGCATTGGGCCGTGCTGGTGGCCATCTCTGGGGACCCCAAGCCCCACAACCTTCCTTCTCCTGCTGTCCTGGCCGCAGTGTGTGGGCTGAACCTCACAGCTGTGGATGGGGACGGCCAGATTCAAGTACTTGTGGCCAAGGAGGAGGTCAGCAAAACTGACCTGGGCGATGCCATAAGGGTACCACATCTTGTTCTGGGACTCAAAGGGGTTGTTCTCTGTCTCTCTGGGAGAGATGAGGGCCTGGAAGTTGAGGTATGAATCCAGAGGGTCCTCCCCAAACAGCACGGGCTTCTGAGAACACTCCTCTGACTTGCGGTCCCGGTCGTGAACTTCCACCACCATGGGGGGGCCCTCCAGGTATTCCCTTAGGTCACTGGGGTGCAGTGCCCCAAGGAAGATGACGTTGATGTCCTGGAAATAAACGTGGGTTCCATGGGGCTCCCCCTTGGTCTTGTGAACTGGAGTCTTATGGAACTGGTACTTGCAGTACACAGGCATGCACAGCCTCTACGAGAGAGCAGGGCCACAGCAGGTCACCCAGCCACAAGGACAGTCACTCAGCCCCAGCATGAGGAGCTCAAATCCCAGTGCCAGGCTCATTGCCTGTCCCTGTAGCCCAAGTTTTCTCATCCACAAAATATCCATAAGAGACACTACTGTGCAAGGTCATTACTAGGACTGCAGACATCATGCATGTGAACGCACCAGGATGGCGACTGGCATGAAACAAGGACTCAAAAAGCATTCGTTACTTATTTTCCTCCCAAAATGTGAGTGCCATGAAGATAGGCCATGTGTCCTTTTTCATACCTGTACTTCTAGTTCCTATCCCGAGGCTGGGCACAGAAAAGGTACAGAGAAGTGATTTTTAGAAAGGAAATCTCTGTTTTCCAAATATATATCTGGGGGTCGACACAGACCCCTTTAGCAGAGCCACAGGTGCCAAGCTGAAAACTGACACTCTGGGCAGGAGACAGCCTCAGAGAGGTCTGGGCCTCAGAGAGCACGGAGAACAGGGTGGAAAGGAAGAGCCAAGCTATGCTGAGGCAGAAAGCAGGGACATTTGCATGGTTTGACCTTGGTGCTGAGATTTTATCATCACAAATTAAGCCTTACACAAGTCTGTGGTCTGAATTCGTAATCTAAAGGCACTATTTATTTTACACGGAAGCTGAGAATTTATTCTAAAATAATCCCGGATTGGCGGTGCTCCCAGAGCAGTGGGCAGAGACACAATACCTCTGGAGATAGTCACTTTCAACCTAGGCCTCAAAGAATTCCCATCAAGAAAGTTCCATTGAACACGAGATCATGGTAAAAATCACAGAACACGTAAAGACAAAGGCACTACTAGTGAAATCAGATGCACCAAGGCATAAGATATTAGAATGATCAGAGATATAAAATAAGGATATAAGTTTAAGAAAAGAAAGAATATAATCAAGGTAAAACCTATTGTATTTCTATTTATTTGTAACTGGCTTGGCACAGTTGAGAAAGCCAAATACCAACCACACAATGGAGAAGCTGAGAACCAACCAGATTTTCTCTGTAAAACTCTCAAAAGACTTGGGAATGGCAAACCTAGTATCTCTGGAACTGGCAGTAAAAAGGAACGGCTGGAGCAGGGAGGACTGGGTGCAAGTTCCTTAAGAAGCAATCAGATCCCTAGGTGTCCCCCCAGTGGCTCGGCAGAAGTCTACTAGTTTGCTCTCCATGCAAAATGTAAATAGGGGGTCCTGAAAACTTCAAAGCACTGATGAAAAAAAAAAAAGATGTAAATAAATGGAGAGATGTACTATATACATAGATTGGAAGACAATATAGCAAAGATGTCAACTCTCCTCAAACCAATCAGTTTATAGGTTTACAAATGTAATGCAATTCCAATCAAAATCCCAGCACAACTTTTTGTAGATATTGATAAACTGATTCTAAAATTTGTATAGAAGAGCCAGGAAACTGGAAGAGCTAAAACAATGTTGAAAACTAAAGTTGGAGGAACCACTTCACCCATTTTTACGACTTACTACAAAGCTACTATAAGCAAGACAGTGTCGTGTTGCTGAAAGGACAGACACAGACCCACGGATCAGAAAAGAGAAACCGGAAACAGATCCACACAAGTATGGCTAATCTATGTTTATCAAAAGTGCAAAAGAAAGAAACTTCAACGTAAACCTCACACCATATACAAAAATTCATTCAAAATTGATCAAAGGCTGGGTGTGGTGGCTCACACCTTTAATCCCAGCACTTTGGGAGGCTGACGCAGGAGGACTGCTTGAGGCCAGGAGGTTTGAGGTTTCAACGAGCTACAACTGCACCACTGCACACCAACCTGGACAACAAATGAGATTCTGTCTCAAAAAAGAAAAAAATTGATCGAAGATATAAATGTTAACTATAAAACTATTAAAGCATTGAGAAGAAAACAGAAAAAAAAAATCCTTCTGACCAGGGGTTAGGCAAAGAGTTCTTAGATGTGACACAGAAACACAATGCATACATGAAAAAAAATGTATAATTTGGACTTCATCAAAATTAAAATTTTTGCTCTGCAAAAGACACTGTAAAGAGAATGAAAAGATGTGCTTGTCACAGATTGGGTTAAAAATAAAAGAGAATGACAAGACAAACTACAGACTGGGAGAAAATATTAGCAAATAATATATCCAACAACAGACTTAAATCCAGAATGTGTATGTAAACACACATTTATTATATATATATATTTATGGTGAGACAGGGTCTT
Source organism: Homo sapiens (assembly GCF_000001405.40). Classification (NCBI taxonomy): domain Eukaryota; kingdom Metazoa; phylum Chordata; class Mammalia; order Primates; family Hominidae; genus Homo; species Homo sapiens. The sequence goes on from NC_000003.12 coordinate 128,948,224, forward strand.
GCTCTGTTGCCCCGGGCTGGAGTGCAGTAGTGCAATCATGGCTCACTGCAGCCCCAACCTCCCTGGGCTCAGCTGATCCTCCCACCTCAGCTTCCCTAGTAGCTGGGACTACAGGTGTGTGCTACCATGCCCCACTAATTTTTCTTTTCTTTCCTTTTTTTTTTTTTTTTTTTTTTTTTTTGTAGAGACAGAGTTTTACCATGTTGCCCAGGCTGGTCTTGAACTCCTGAGCTCAAGTGATCCTCCTGCCTCAGCCTCCCAAATTGCCAGGATAACAGGCGTGAGCCACCGTGCCCATCCCGGAATTTTTTTTTTTTTTTCCCTGAGACAGGCTCTCGCTCCATTGCCCAGGCTAGAGTACAGTGGCTCAATCTCAGCTCACTGCAACCACCACCTCCCCAGTTCAAGCAATTCTCCTGCCTCAGCCTCCTGAGTAGCTGGGATTACAGGCACGCGCCACCAGGCCTGGCTAATTTTTGTGTTTTTAGAAGAGATGGGGTTTCACCATGTTGGCCAGGCTGGTCTTGAACTCCTGACCTCAAGTGATCCGCCCGCCTTAGCCTCCCAAAGTGTTGGGATTACAGGCGTGAGCCACCGTGCCCAGCCTAGAATATATATTTTTTAAAACTCCCAAAACTCAGCAGTAAGACAGTAAACAACCCAACTGAAAAATGAGCAAAAATTTGAGCAGAAATTTCACCAAATGGGATGTAAAATGGCAAATAAACACATCAAAAGATGCTCAACATCATTATCCGTCAGGGAACTACAAATTAAAACCATGATATGATAACAATACAAACTTCTTAGACTGGCTAAACTTAAAATACTGACAATACCACATTCTGGAGAGGGTAGGGAGCAACTAGAACCCTTGTTCACTGCTGATGAGAATGCAGAGTGATCAGCCGCACTGGAAAATGGTGGGCAGTTTTTCATAGTCAGGCATATACTTAACATATAGCCTAGCAATTTCATTTGTTGGCATTTACCCTAAAGAACTGAAAACTTATGTTCCTATAAAAACATGTGTACACTGTTTTTAAGCAGCTCTATTCATAATTACCAAAAACTAGAAGCAACCTAAATGTCCTTTGATGAGTGCACGAACAAACTGTGGTACACCCTTGTGATGGAATACTGCTCAGCAATGAAAAGGAAAGAACTACCGATAGATGCGGCCACTTGAATGAATCTGAAAGGCATTACCTTGAGTGGAGAGGCCATGCACATTGTTATCTGCTGAATCAAAGGTTACAGCTGCATGATGCTGCAAAACACAGAGCCCCATTTACATGACATTCTTCCAGAGTTAAAACTATAGTCATAAAGAACACATCAGTGGCTGTCAGAGGTTATGTGTGTGAAGCAAAAGTGATTATGAAGGGCGAGTACAAAGGAGGGGTTTGGGGTAACAGAACTGTATCCTAACTGTAGTGGTGATAATATTGATCTATACGTGATTTTATTTTATTTTTCTGAGACAGAGTTTCTCTCTCATAGCCCAGGCTGGAGTGCAATGGCGCGATCTTGGCTCACGGCAACCTCTGCCTCCCAGGCTCAAGCAATTCTCCTGCTTCAGCCTCCTGAGGAGCTGGGATCACAGGCACGTGCCACCACGCTCAGCTGATTTTTGTGTTTTTAGTAGAGACAGGGTTTCCCCCATGTTGGCCAGGCTGGTCTGAAACTCCTGACCTGAAATGATCCACCTGCCTCAGCCTCCCAAAATGCTGGGATTACAGGTGTTAGCCACTGCACCTGGCCTGATCTATACATAATTTTAAATTTATAGACCTATAAACCAAAAGATAAACATCAATTTTACTGTAGAAAAATTTGTTTTTTAAAAAAAATAACAGAGGGTCTCTGGAATAGGGGATAGTTGAGGGCATCTGTGCCGTTCCCAAATAGGGAGATTAGGTGACCAAATGCTCACTGCTTAGTGCAAATTCCCAGCTCCTTTCTGTCTGTGGGCATTCAGAATGCAGCAGGCTAGACCCTGACCCCCCAGGCAGGGAACTAGGAAAGCCCTGTAGAACCCAGGGGTTCCCACCAACGCCCCACTCAGATCACCCGATGGTGAAGCTCAGAGCTGAGAAGCCCACCGTGCACCCAAAGCTCGCCTTTTAGGTCTGTGCTCTCTCAGCCATGAGCAGTGGGCCAGGGGATTAACAGACAGTGGAGGAAAACGTCTGACCTGGAAGGTGGAGTGAAACAAACAGGAAGATCAACCTAAAGGAAGCGGACTACACACGTGACGACAGTGCCCATGAAGCAAGCTGGAAGTGCTGTGTCCCAGGCCCCCGACACCCTCAAGTTCAGTGATTCGCTAGGAGAACTCACAGAACTCAGCATGGGTGCAGCGCACTTGTGTCTGTGATTTATTACAGCAAAAGAGACAAAGCAAACAACAAAGGGGGCAGGCACAAGCTGCTGAAGTCCTCTCCCAGGGGATACACACAGGGGGTGCTCAACTCCTCCCTGATGCAGTGCAGCAACGTGTGAAATGCTGTCCACTGGGGAAGCCCATGAGGGACTCACTGCCTAGGGCTTTTGCTGAGGCCTGGTCACATAGCACCCCCTGCCTAGCATGTATGAAAATCTCAGCCTCCCAAAGGGAAAGCAGGCATTCAGCACAAACGATACTGTTTGCAAAAGCCATTTAGGCACAGTGAGCCATTCTTAACGGGGAGTGCGGGGAACCCTCTCAAAATGCAAGTTCCCATATACCAGCCTGGGTCAACTCTGCAAACAGGACTTTTTAAGGACGGTAGTCTCAGGCCCACTCTGTTCACTCTTTTCTGAACATTTCCTAGAAAAAGGATCAATTAGGAGAGAAAGAACAATAAAAACAAGTAGAAGATAGCTGGGTGTGGTGCCAGGCACCTGTAATTCCAGCTGTTCAGGAAGCTGAGGCAGGAGAATTGCTTGAATCTGGGAGGCAGAGGTTGCAGTGAGCTGAGATCGTGCCACTGCACTCCAGCCTGGGTGACAGAGCGAGACTCCATCTCAGAAAAAAAAAAAAGGAAAGCCCAGGAGAGTCAGCATCTAGCTAACAGAGTCCCAAAAAGAAAGGGGGAAAAAAATGAAGAAATAATCAGTGAAATAATTTAAGACAATTTCCCGGTGCTGAAGGATGTGGGCTTCTAGGTTGAAATGGCCCACTGAATCCCCAGCTTCACGGGTAAAAATACACTTACAGAGTTCCTGTTCTGGATCAAGATGGAATAGACACACTTCTAGTTCTACTAAGTACAGCTTTAAAACTCTGCAGGTTGTATATATAAAAAAAAAATACAAAGACTTTGAAAAGTACAGAAAAGGTGTTTAGGGAACATGGGATCCTGGGTCTTCTATTTGCCTCATATATTCCGGACTGAGTGCTGGAGAAGGCAGTATCCAGAAATACCAGTGAGAGTAGGCAGAAAGGACCCCAAGAAAAGTCTGCTTTCTCCATATCAAAGACGAAGAAAGGGACAACTCAGCAGAACAGCAAACTTTTAGGCAAATAACCTCCCTACCCCAGACACACACCATGGAAAAAATCATGCCCCACCCCAGAAACAAAGGCTACATGGGAAGCCTGGACTTCTACCCTCACTGACTTTAACTTGGTGCTCCTTACCTCACTGGGGTAGTGTCAGAAAAGACCTGGTGGGGAGCCAGGACTTTCCCCAACCCTCAATGGAAATGAAGCCTCCCATCATGTATCAGTGAAGTCCACAAGAGCAGTAACAAGATATCCCTACCCACAGGGTACAGTGGCCAAGTGGGGAACCTGGAGTCTCACCTGGCAGTATTGAGATGGTAACTCTCTCATCTCCCCCTCCACAGGCCTGCTACACATGCAGTTTGGTGTTGGAGAAGGCCTGCTACACATACAATTTTTTTCTTTCTTTTCTTCTTCTTCTTCTTTTTTTTTTTTTTGAGAGACAGGGTCTCTGTCATCCAGGCTGGAGTGCAGTGGTGCAATCATAGCTCACTGCAGCCTCAGCCTCCTGGGTTCAAGCCATCCTCCCACCCCGGCCTCTTGAATAGCTGGGCTACAGGTGTATGCCACCACATCTAGCTAATTAAAATAAAAATTAAGAAGGGATCACACTGTGTTGCCCAGGCTGGTCTTAAACTCCTGGGCTCAAGTGATTCTCCAGCACCCAGCTTAAACGTAAGATTCAAATAAGATACAGTCTCATAATGTAATACTCAATATATCCAAGATAGAATTTTTAAAAAATCACCTGTCATACCAGAAAAATCAACTTGAATGGGAAAAACCAATGAACAGACACCAACACTGAGATGATACAGATCTTGGAATTATCTGAAAAGGAATCTGAAGCAGTAATGAACATGCTTGAAACAAATGAAAAAATTAGTTGCTCAGCAAAGAAACAGGAGATATAAAGAATAAACAAGGTGTGGTGGTGCATGCCTTTAGTCCCAGCTGCTCGGGAGGCTGAGGTGGCAGGGTCACTTGAGCTCAGGAGTTCAAGGCTGCAGTGAGCCATGATAGTGCCATTGTACTCCAGCCTGGGTGACAGAGCAAGACAAGACCCCATCTCTTAAAAAGAAAGTAAATAGGCCGGGTGCGGTGGCTCACACCTGTAAATCCAGCACTTTGGGAGGCCAAGGGGGTGGCTCACGAGATCAGGAGTTCAAGACCAGCCTGACCAAGATAGTGAAACCCCATATCTACTAAAAATACAAAAATTAGCCAGGCATGTTGACAGGTGCCTGTAATCCCAGCTATTTGGGAAGCTGAGGCAGAGAACTGCTTGAACCCAGGATGCGGAGGTTGCAGTGGGCCAAGATGGCACCATTGCACTGGGCGACAGAGTAAGACTCCAACTCAAAAAGCAAAACAAAACAAAAATGGAAATCTTAGAACTGAAAAATACAATAACTGCAATAAAAAAACTCAATAGATGGACTCAATGCAGAATGGAATGTACAGAGGAAAGAATCTGTAAACCTGAAGACAAAACAATAGAAATAGAAATACCCAATCTGGGCCGGGCGCGGTGGCTCACGCCTGTAATCCCAGCACTTTGGGAGGCTGAGGTGGGTAGATCACGAGGTCAGGAGATCGAGACCAGCCTGGCTAACACGGTGAAACCCAGTCTCTACTAAAAATACAAAAAATTAGCCGGGCGTGGTGGTGGGCGCCTGTAGTCCCAGCTACTCAGGAGGCTGAGGGAGGAGAATGGCATGAACCCAGGAGGCGGAGCTTGCAGTGAGCCAAGATCACGCCACTGCACTCCAGCCAGGGCGACAGAGCAAGACTCTGTCTCAAGAAAATAAAAAGAAAGAGGGATAATCACTCGCTTAAGAAGCAGCAACACGGTCTCCCTCTCCCTCTCCCTCTCCCTCTCCCTCCCCCTCTCCCTCTCCCTCTCCCTCCCTCTCCGTCTCCCTCTCCCCACGGTCTCCCTCTCATGCGGAGCCGAAGCTGGACTGTACTGCTGCCATCTCGGCTCACTGCAACCTCCCTGCCTGATTCTCCTGCCTCAGCCTGCCGAGTGCCTGCGATTGCAGGCACGCGCCACCACGCCTGACTGGTTTTGGTGGAGACGGGGTTTCGCTGTGTTGGCCGGGCCGGTCTCCAGCCCCTAACCGCGAGTGATCCGCCACCCTCGGCCTCCCGAGGTGCCGGGATTGCAGACGGAGTCTCGTTCACTCAGTGCTCAATGGTGCCCAGGCTGGAGTGCAGTGGCGTGATCTCGGCTCACTACAACCTCCACCTCCCAGCCGCCTGCCTTGGCCTCCCAAAGTGCCGAGATTGCAGCCTCTGCCCGGCCGCCACCCCGTCTGGGAAGTGAGGAGTGTCTCTGCCTGGCCGCCCATCGTCTGGGATGTGAGGAGCCCCTCTGCCCGGCCGCCCAGTCTGGGAAGTGAGGAGCGTCTCCGCCCGGCCGCCATCCCATCTAGGAAGTGAGGAGCGCCTCTTCCCAGCCGCCATCACATCTAGGAAGTGAGGAGCGTCTCTGCCCGGCCGCCCATCGTCTGAGATGTGGGGAGCGCCTCTGCCCCACCGCCCCATCTGGGATGTGAGGAGCGCCTCTGCCCGGCCGAGACCCCGTCTGGGAGGTGAGGAGCGTCTCTGCCCGGCCGCCCCGTCTGAGAAGTGAGGAGACCCTCTGCCTGGCAACCACCCCGTCTGAGAAGTGAGGAGCCCCTCCGCCCGGCAGCTGCCCCGTCTGAGAAGTGAGGAGCCTCTCCGCCCAGCAGCCACCCCATCTGGGAAGTGAGGAGCATCTCCGCCCGGCAGCCACCCTGTCCGGGAGGGAGGTGAGGGGGGGTCAGCCCCCCGCCCGGCCAGCCGCCCCATCCGGGAGGGAGGTGGGGGGTCAGCCCCCCGCCCGGCCAGCCGTGCCATCCGGGAGGGAGGTGGGGGGGTCAGCCCCCCGCCCGGCCAGCCGCCCGGTCCGGGAGGTGAGGGGCGCCTCTGCCCGGCCGCCCCTACTGGGAAGTGAGGAGCCCCTCTGCCCGGCCAGCCGCCCCGTCCGGGAGGGAGGTGGGGGGGTCAGCCCTCCGCCCGGCCAGCCGCCCCGTCTGGGAGGTGAGGGGCGCCTCTGCCCGGCCGCCCCTACTGGGAAGAGAGGAGCCCCTCTGCCCGGCCAGCCGCCCCGTCCGGGAGGGAGGTGGGGGGGTCGGCCCCCCGCCCGGCCAGCCGCCCCGTCCGGGAGGGAGGTGGGGGTGTCGGCCCCCCGCCCGGCCAGCCGCCCCGTCCGGGAGGGAGGTGGGGCGGTCAGCCCCCCTGCCCGGCCAGCCGCCCCGTCCGGGAGGTGAGGGGCGCCTCTGCCCGGCCACCCCTACTGGGAAGTGAGGAGCCCCTCTGCCCGGCCAGCCGCCCCGTCCGCGAGGGAGGTGGGGGGGTCAGCCCCCCGCCCGGCCAGCCGCCCCGTCCGGGAGGGAGGTGGGGGGGGTCAGCCCCCCTGCCCGGCCAGCCGCCCCGTCCGGGAGGGAGGTGGGGGGGGTCAGCCCCCCTGCCCGGCCAGCCGCCCCGTCCGGGAGGTGAGGGGCGCCTCTGCCCGGCCGCCCCTACTGGGAAGTGAGGAGCCCCTCTGCCCGGCCAGCTGCCCCGTCCGCGAGGGAGGTGGGGGGGTCAGCCCCCCCGCCCGGCCAGCCGCCCCGTCCGGGAGGGAGGTGGGGGGGGGTCAGCCCCCCTGCCCGGCCAGCCGCCCCGTCCGGGAGGTGAGGGGCGCCTCTGCCCGGCCGCCCCTACTGGGAAGTGAGGAGCCCCTCTGCCTGGCCAGCCGCCCCGTCCGGGAGGGAGGTGGGGGGGTCAGCCCCCCGACCGGCCAGCCGCCCCATCCGGGAGGGAGGTGGGGGGGTCAGCCCCCCGCCCGGCCAGCCGCCCCGCCCAGGAGGTGAGGGGCGCCTCTGCCCGGCCGCCCCTACTGGGAAGTGAGGAGCCCCTCTGCCCAGCCACCACCCCGTCTGGGAGGTGTGCCCAACAGCTCATTGAGAACGGGCCAGGATGACAATGGCGGCTTTGTGGAATAGAAAGGCGGGAAAGGTGGGGAAAAGATTGAGAAATCGGATGGTTGCCGTGTCTGTGTAGAAAGAAGTAGACATGGGAGACTTTTCATTTTGTTCTGCACTAAGAAAAATTCCTCTGCCTTGGGATCCTGTTGATCTGTGACCTTACCCCCAACCCTGTGCTCTCTGAAACATGTGCTGTGTCCACTCAGGGTTAAATGGATTAAGGGCGGTGCAAGATGTGCTTTGTTAAACAGATGCTTGAAGGCAGCATGCTCGTTAAGAGTCATCACCAATCCCTAATCTCAAGTAATCAGGGACACAAACACTGCGGAAGGCCGCAGGGTCCTCTGCCTAGGAAAACCAGAGACCTTTGTTCACTTGTTTATCTGCTGACCTTCCCTCCACTATTGTCCCATGACCCTGCCAAATCCCCCTCTGTGAGAAACACCCAAGAATTATCAATAAAAAAATAAATTAAAAAAAAAAATAAAAAAAAAATAAAAAAATAAAAAAAAAAAAAGAAAATAGAAAGAAAAAAAGAAATTACCCAATCTGAACAACACAGGGGAAAAAAGACACAAAAATCAAAATCAGAACTTCAGGGCCCTGTGGGACTAAAACAAAAGAACTAATATTCATGTCATTGGAGTTTCAGAAGGAGAGGAGAAAAAAGGTGGTGCTGAAAAGTATTCCAATAAATAATGGCTAAAATTTTCTCAAATTTGGCAAAATACATAAGCCTATAGATTCAAAGAGCTGAGAGAACCCCAAATAAGATAAACACAAAGAAATCCACACCAAGACATGTCATAGTCAAACTTCTGTAAATTAATGACAAAGAAAGAAAATCTTGAAAGCTGCAAGAGATAAATGCCACCTTACTTATAGGGAAAAAAAAGTAATTTGAATGACAGCAGATTTCCCATCAGAAACTGTAGTGGTAAGAAGAAAGTGGTATAACATTTTTCAAGTGTTAAAAAAAAAAATCCAGCCAGGCACAGTGGCTCACACCTGTAACCCCAGCACTTTGGGAGGCCGAGGTGCGTGCATCACCTGAGGTCAGGAGTTTGACACTAGCCTGGCTAACATGGTGAAATTCTGTCTCTACTAAAAATACAAAAATTAGCCAGGCATGGTGGTGCATGCTCATAATCCCAGCTACTCAGGAGGCTGAGGCAGGAGAATCACTTGAACCCAGGAGGCAGACGTTGCAGTGAGCCAACATCATGCCACTACACTCCAGCCTGGGTGACAGAGCCAGACTCTCTCAAAAAAAAAAAAAAAAAAAAGAAATCAACCCCATTCTATACCAATTCTATATCCAGTAAGACTATCCTTCCAGAATGAAGGAAAAATAAAAACACCCTGAGACAAAGAACAACTAAAAGAATTTGTTTTCAGCAGATTTATCCTAGAAGAAAGGCGAAAGGAAGTTCTTGAAACAGAAAGGAAATGACAAAAGAAGTCTTGGAACATTAGAAAGGAAGAAAGGATAATGGAATAAGTAGAACCACGGGTAAACAAATACACTTTCCTTCAACCCTTGAGTTTTCTAGGTTATGTGTTATGTTTGACAGTTGAAGCAAAAAGTATAACATCATCTCATGTGGTTATCAATCTATGTAGAGGAAATATTTAGGGAAACTAAAGGGGTATGGAGGGAGGTAAAGTTTCTATATTTCACTCAAACTGGTAAAATATTGATACCAAGAGATTGCGAAAAGTTATGTTATGCGTTAAATATAATATCCAGAGTGCCACTAAAAATCTATACCAAGAGATATAAATTCAAAAATACTACAGATAAATCAAAATGGAATTCTAAAAATGGGTCAAGTAACCCACAAGAAAGCAGGAATAAAAACCAAGAGAAACAAAAAAACAGAAGGAACAGACAGAAAACAAAAATTAAAATGGTAGACTTAAGCTCTAATATATCAACATTTACTCTAAATATAATGGTCTAAATACGTCAATTAAAAGGCAGAGTAAATAAAGAAACATGACCAAACTACATGCAAGGCCATTATCCTGGAGTGGGGGAGAAGGCCAGTCTCAAAAGGTCACATGCTGGATGTTTTCATTTATATAACCACACCAGTTTCCTACGAAGCGCCATAAACTGGGGGGGGGCTTAAAATGACAGAAATTTATTGTCTCCCTGTTCTGAGGCTAGAAGTCAGAAATTAAGCTGTTGGCAGGGCCACATTTCCTCAGAAGGTGCTCAGGAAGGTCCTTCCTTGCCTCTTCCAGCTTCTGGTGGCCCCAGATGTCCCCTGGCATGTGGCAGCATCCACTTTCCATGTGGCGTTCTCTGTGTGTCACTTTGCATAGTCTTCCCTCTACGTGTGTCTGTCTCTGGGTCCAATTTTCCCCCTTTCATAAGGATACCCTAATGACCTCATTTCAACTTGACTACCTCTGCAAAGACCCTCTTTCCAAATAAGATCACATTCTGAGATACTGGGCGTTAGGAGTTCAACATACCATTTTTTGGAGGAACACAATTCAATCCTTAACAATAACATTTTCAAATTGACAAAAGTATAGAGATAGCAAATTAGTGGTTAGGGATGGTGGGTGTTAGGGGTTGTTGTGACTATAAAAGGGTAGCACGAAGGAGATCTTTGTGATGATAGAATATTTCTACATCTCAAGTGCTGTGACAGTTACATACATGTACAATAAAATGGCACAGACCTATATACACATTAGACTCATGTCAATGTGCTGATTTTGATATTGTGCTATAGTTATGAAACACCTAATTACTGAGGAAATTGGACAAAGGATACATGGGACCTCTCTGTACTGTCTTTGCAACTTTCCGTGAATCTATATTTTAAAGTATGACATATGTATATGGACATACTCACACTAAGACACACAAGCAGTTTCAGAAGACAAAAAGGGCTGGCACTGTGGCTTACACCTATAATCCTAGCACTTTGGGAGGCCACGGCAGGAGGATCACTTGATCCCAGGAGTTCAGGACCAGCCTGCGCAACATGGCAAAACCCTGTCTCTACAAAAAATACAAAAACTAGCTGGGTGTGGTGGCGTGTGCCTGCAGTCTCAGCTACTAGGGAGGCTAAGGCAGGAGGATCACCTGAGCCCAGGAGGTTGAGGCTGCAGTAAGTTATGATCACACCACTGCACTCCAGACAGGGCAGTGGAGTGAGACCCTGTCTCAAAAAAATTTTTTTAAAAAAGGAGACAAGGTTGGACGCAGTGGCTGACACCTGTAATCCCAACACTTTGGGAGGCCAAGGCAGGTGGATCACCTGAGGTCAGGAGTTTGAGACCAGATTGACCAACATGGAGAAACCCTGTCTCTACTAAAAATACAAAATTAGCCGGGCGTGGTGGCAAATGCCTGTAATCCCAGCTACTCGGGAGGCTGAGGCAGAAGAATCGCTTGAACCCAGGAGGTGGAGGTTGTGGTGAGCTGAGATTGCACCCCTGCACTCCAGCCTGGGCAACAAGAGCAAAATTCTGCCTCAAATAAATAAATAAATAAAATAAAAAAGACGACAAAAAGGATTTTATAAGCATTTGGAGAAACAAAAAACAGTTCGCATACAAAGGTTCAACTTCAATGAAAATAAAAGATGATGGAACAATGCCTTCAAAACTCTGAAGGCAAATGATTTTTAGCCTAGAATTCTATATGCAGCCAAACTACCAGTCATGTGTAAGGATAAAAAAAGGTAGAAAAAAATATATCTGCAGACATATGAGATCTCAAAAATAAATCTCCCATTGACCTTTTCTCGAGAAGCTACTAGAGGATGCACTCCAGCAAAACCAGACAGCAAATAAAGGGAGAGAATTCAGGAGACAGGGATCCAACCAGAAGAGGGAACAAGGAACTCACAGAATAAACAGCAGTGCTGAACCTGGTTGGTTCACAATGAGTGAGCATCCCGCTGGCAACTGCCACAGGAAGAGGGAAGCCTGGGGGCTCCTGAAGGGAGGTTCATGACCTGCATGTGAAGAGCACCTGCGGCATAGTAGGAGACCTCAGGACTGGTCACACCTAATCCCAGGAACCCCATCTCTTTTGTATCTCACTGTGGGATCCTAAATGGTAAAATACAGGTGATAACTGTCAGGCCTCTGAGCCCAGGCCAGGCCATCACATCCCCTGTGACTTGCACGTATACATCCAGATGGCCTGAAGTAACTGAAGATCCACAAAAGAAATAAAAACAGCCTTAACTGATGACATTCCACCATTGTGATTTGTTCCCGCCCCACCCTAACTGATCAATGTACTTTGTAGTCTCCCCCACCCTTAAGAAGGTTCTTTGTAATTCTCCCCACTCTTGAGAATGTATTTTGTGAGATCCACCCCTGCCCACCAGAGAACAACCCCCTTTGACTGTAATTTTCCATTACCTTCCCAAATCCTATAAAACGGCCCCACTCCCTTCGCTGACTCTCTTTTCGGACTCAGCCCGCCTGCACCCAGGTGAAATAAACAGCCATGTTGCTCACACAAAGCCTGTTTGGTGGTCTCTTCACACGGACGCGCATGAAATGTGGTGCCGTGACTCGGATCGGGGGACCTCCCTTGGGAGATCAATCCCCCGTCCTCCTGCTCTTTGCTCCGTGAGAAAGATCCACCTCTATGACCTCAGGTCCTCAGACCGACCAGCCCAAGAAACATCTCACCAATTTCAAATCCGGTAAGCGGCCTCTTTTGACTCTCTTCTCCAACCTCCCTCACTATCCCTCAACCTCTTTCTCCTTTCAATCTTGGTGCCACACTTCAATCTCTCCCTTAATTTCAATTCCTTTCATTTTCTGGTAGAGACAAAAGAGACACGTTTTATCCGTGGACCCAAAACTCCGGCGCCGGTCACGGACTGGGAAGGCAGCCTTCCCTTGGTGTTTAATCATTGCAGGGACGCTCTCTGATTATACACCCACGTTTCAAGGGTGTCAGACCACGCAGGGACGCCTGCCTTGGTCCTTCACCCTTAGCGGCTAGTCCCGCTTTTCTGGGGAAGGGGCAAGTACCCGTGAACCCCTTCTCCTTCACCCTCAGCGGCAAGTCCCGCTTTCCTGGGGCAGGGGCAAGTACCCCTCAACCCCTTCTCCTTCACCCTCAGCGGCAAGTCCCACTTTCCTGGGGCAGGGGCAAGTACCCCTCAACCCCTTCTCCTTCACCCTTAGCGGCAAGTCCCGCTTTTCTAGGGGGCAAGAACCCCCAAACCCCTTCCCTCCGGGTCTCTATGCTCTCTTTTCTCTGGGTTTGCTTCCTTCACTATGGGCAACCTTCCACCCTCCATTCCTCCTCCTTCTCCCTTAGCCTGTGTGCTCAAGAACTTAAAACCTCTTCAACTCACACCTGACCTAAAACCTAAATGCCTTATTTTCTTCTGCAATGCCGCTTGACCCCAATACAAACTCAACAGTAGTTCCAAATAGCCAGAAAATGGCACTTTAAATTTTTCCATCCTGCAAGATCTAAATAATTCTTGTCGTAAAATAGGCAAACGGTCTGAGGTGCCTGACGTCCCGGCATTCTTTTACACATCAGTCCCTTCCTAGTCGCTGTGCCCAGGGCAACTCCTCCCAAATCTTCCTTCTTTCCCTCCCGCCTGTCCCCTCAGTCCCAACCCCAAGCATCACTGACTCTTTCTAATCTTCCTTTTCTACAGACCCATCTGACCTCTCCCCTCCTCACCAGGCCGAGCTAGGTCCCAATTCTTCCTCAGCCTCCGCTCCTCCACCCTATAATCCTTTTATCACCTCCCCTCCTCACACCTGGTCCTGCTTATGGTTTTCATTCCGTGACTAGCCCTCCCCCACCTGCCCAGCAATTTACTCTTAAAAAGGTGGCTGGAGCTGAAGGCATAGTCAAGGTTAATGCTCCTTTTTCTTTATCCCAAATCAGATAGCGTTTAGGCTCTTTTTCATCAAATATAAAAACCCAACCCAGTTCATGGCAGCAACCCTGAGACGCTTTACAGCCCTAGACCCTAAAAGGTCAAAAGGCTGTCTTATTCTCAATATACATTTTATTACCCAATCTGCTCCCGACATTAAATAAAACTCCAAAAATTAAATTCCGGCCCTCAAACCCCACAACAGGATTGAATTAACCTCTCCTTCAAGGTGTACAATAATAGGAAAAAGTTGCAATTCCTTGCCTCCACTGTGAGACAAATCCCAGCCACATCTCCAGCACACAAGAACTTCCAAACGCCTGAACCGCAGTGGCCAGGTGTTCCTCCAGAACCTCCTCCCCCAGGAGCTTGCTACAAGTGCCAGAAATCTGACCACCAGGCCAAGGAATGCCCGCAGCCCAGGATTCCTCCTAAGCCGTGTCCCATCTGTGCGGGACCCCACTGGAAATTGGACTGTTCAACTCACCTGGCAGCCACTCCCAGAGCCCCTGGAACTCTGGCCCGAGGCTCTCTGACTGACTCCTTCTCGGCTTAGCGGCTGAAGACTGATGCTGCCCGATCGCCTCGGAAGCCCCATAGACCATCACGGACGCCGAGCTTCCGGTAACTCTCACAGCGGAAGGTAAGCCCGTCCCCTTCTTAAGCAATACGGAGGCTACCCACTCCACATTACCTTCTTTTCAAGGGCCTGTTTCCCTTGCCTCCATAACTGTTGTGGGTATTGACAGACAGGCTTCTAAACCTCTTAAAACTCCCCAACTCTGGTGCCAACTTAGACAATACTCTTTTATGCACTCTTTTTTAGTTATCCCCACCTGCCCAGTTCCCTTATTAGACCGAGATATTTTAACCAAATTATCTGCTTCCCTGACTATTCCTGGACTACAGCTGCATCTCATTGCTGCCCTTCTTCCCAATCCAAAGCCTCCTTTGCGTCCTCCTCTTGTATTCCCCCACCTTAACCCACAAGTATAAGAGACCTCTACTCCCTCCTTGGCAACTGATCACGCACCCCTTACCATCTCATTAAAACCTAATCATCCTTACCCCGCTCAATGCCAATATCCTATCCCACAGCACGATTTAAAAGGATTAAAGCCTGTGATCACTCGCCTGCTACAGCACGGGCTTCTAAAACCTATAAACTCTCCTTACCATTCCCCCATTTTACCTGTCCTAAAACCAGACAAGGCTTACAAGTTAGTTCAGAATCTGCGCCTTATCAACCAAATTGTTTTGCCTATCCACCCCGTGGTGCCAAACCCATATACTCTCCTATCCTCAATACCTTCCTCTACTACCCATTATTCTGTTCTGGATCTCAAACATGCTTTCTTTACTATTCCTTTGCACCCGTCATCCCAGCCTCTCTTTGCCTTCACTTAGACTGACCCTGACACCCATTAGGCTCAGCAAATTACCTGGGCTGTACTGCCGCAAGGCTTCACAGACAGCCCCCATTACTTCAGTCAAGCCCAAATTTCGTCCTCATCTGTTACCTATCTTGGCATAATTCTCATAAAAACACATGTGCTCTCCCTGCTGATCGTGTCTGATTAATCTCCCAAACCTCAATCCCTTACAAAAGAACAACTCCTTTCCTTCCTAGGCATGCTTAGTGCGGTCAGAATTCTTAAACAAGAGCCAGGACCACACCGTGTAGCCTTTCTGTCCAAACAACTTGACCTTACTGTTTTAGCCTAGCCCTCATGTCTGCGTGCAGCGGCTGCCGCTGCTTTAATACTGTTAGAGGCCCTAAAAGTCACAAACTATGCTCAACTCACTCTCTACATTTCCCAAAATCTATTTTCTTCCTCATACCTGACGCATATACTTTCTGCTCCCCGGCTCCTTCAGCTGTACTCACTCTTTAAGTCTCACAATTACCATCGTTCCTGGCCCGGACTTCAATCTGGCCTCCCACATTATTCCTGATACCACACCTGACCCCCATGACTGTATCTCTCTGATCCACCTGATATTCACCCCATTTCCCCATATTTCCTTCTTTCCTGTTCCTCACCCTGATCACGCTTGATTTATTGACGGCAGTTCCACCAGGCCTAATCGCCACACACCAGCAAAGGCAGGCTATGCTATAGTACAAGCCACTAGCCCGCCTCTCAGAACCTCTCATTTCCTTTCCATCCTGGAAATCTATCCTCAAGGAAATAACTTCTCAGTGTTCCATCTGCTATTCTACTACTCCTCAGGGATTATTCAGGCCCCCTCCCTTCCCTACACATCAAGCTCGAGGATTTGCCCCCACCCAGGACTGGCAAATTAGCTTTACTCAACATGCCCGAGTCAGGAAACTAAAATACCTCTTAGTTCAAATAGACACTTTCACTGAATAAGTAAAGGCCTTTCCTACAGGGTCTGAGAAGGCCACCGCAGTCATTTCTTCCCTTCTGTCAGACATAATTCCTCAGTTTAGCCTTCCCACCTCTATACAGTCTGATAATAGACCAGCCTTTATTAGTCAAATCAGCCAAGCAGTTTTTCAGGCTCTTAGTAGGTTTCAGTGAAACCTTTATATCCCTTACGGTCCTCCGTCTTCAAGAAAAGTAGAACGGACTAAAGGTCTTTTAAAAACACAGCTCACCAAGCTCAGCCACCAACTTAAAAAGGACTGGACAATACTTTTACCACTTTCGCTTCTACAAGGTACAGCCCATTTAAGCTCCTGTGTAGATGCTCCTTTTTATTAGGCCCCAGTCTCATTTGACACCAGACCAACTGAGACTGTGCCCCCAAAAAACTTGTCATCCCTACTATCTTTTGTCTAGTCATACTCCTATTCACCGTTCTCAACTACTCATACGTGCCCTGCTCTTGTTTACACTGCCGGTTTACACTGTTTCTCCAAGCCATCACAGCTGATATCTCCTGGTGCTATCCCCAAACTGCCACTCTAAACTCTTGAAGTAAATAAATAATCTTTGCTGGCAGGACTATGCTGAATCTCCTTAGGCACTCTCTAATCAGATGTCCTAGGTCCTCCCAATTCTTAGACCTTTTATACCTGTTTTTCTCCCTCTCTTATTCCATTTAGTTTCTCAATTCATCCAAAACCATATCCAGGCCATCACCAATCATTCTATACGACAAATGTTTCTTCTAACATCCCCACAATATCACCCCTTACCACAAGACCTCCCTTCAGCTTAATCTCTCCCACTCTAGGTTCCCACGCTGCCCCTAATCCCGCTTGAAGCAGCCCTGAGAAACATCGCCCGTTCTCTCTCCACACCACCCCCCAAAAATTTTTGCCGCTCCAACACTTCAACACTATTTTGTTTTATTTGTCTTATTAATATAAGAAGGCAGGAATGTCAGGCCTCTGAGCCCAGGCCAGGCCATCACATCCCCTGTGACTTGCACGTATACATCCAGATGGCCTGAAGTAACTGAAGATCCACAAAAGAAATAAAAACTGCCTTAACTGATGACATTCCACCATTGTGATTTGTTCCTGCCCCACCCTAACTGATCAATGTACTTTGTAATCTCCCCCACCCTTAAGAAGGTTCTTTGTAATTCTCCCCACTCTTGAGAATGTACTTTGTGAGATCCACCCCTGCCCACCAGAGAACAACCCCCTTTGACTGTAATTTTCCATTACCTTCCCAAATCCTATAAAACGGCCCCACCCCTATCTCCCTTTGCTGACTCTCTTTTCGGACTCAGCCCGCCTGCACCCAGGTGAAATAAACAGCCATGTTGCTCACACAAAGCCTGTTTGGTAGTCTCTTCACACGGACCCGTATGAGAATGACCACATTTCTCATGTGGGGCCATCAGGAGGACTAGAGGTGGCATGTGACGGGCAGGTGGGTGGAAGGGGAGGAGCTCTAAACTCCATGGGTCCGGCTCATTCTTACCTCTAGTTCCTGAATGGGTACAGGCTGTGATGGAAGGCAGGAAGCACACTTGATCTTTATGGTCAGGGGATTTAAATCCTGCTTTTGCTCCTCGGTCATGATCGGAACTTCTGTTTTTAAAGTCAAAAGGCAATCTAAAATGTTGGCAGACTTCTCACTGCCACGACTCACGACAGTTTGCCATCCTGGGGGAAATACACCCAGCATTAGACCTTTCCTCCCGACACCCCCAAGACACGCACAGAGGGATCAAGCAACCTGAGATGAGCCAATGATAAAATCACAACCCAAAAGTGAAAACTTTAATTAAAAAAAAAAAAGAAAAGAAAGAATTGGGAAACACCCACAGGCAGCATGACCTGTGCTAGTTTCTCAAACTGAGGTCCCGTAAATTCTCTAGAATTGAATTTGTGTGACTTAATCTTGATGACATCTTTTAAGAAGTAATACAAGTATTTCCTGAATCATCTAGGACACAATAGGAACACCTATGTGTGGGTGCCACTCCCAGACAGTCTGATTTAATTGGTCTGGGGTGTGGCCTCCACAATGGGAGGTTTAAAAGCTCTCCAGGTAACTTGAAAACCAACGTTCTAAACCTGTGCTATCCACTATGGTAGCTATGGGCCATAGGTAGCTACTTGAATTGTAACTAATTAAAATTAAATAAGATATAAAATGCACTTCCTTCCCCACACAAGCCGCATTCCAAATGCCCAGTACCCTCATGTGGCTATGGGCTCCTGTATGGGTCAGCAGAGAGCCTGGCCATCGTTGCAGGAAGGCTACTGGATGGAGTGCTCCAGGCAGTTCTCCCACCAAGGACATATCATGCCAGTGTGTACATTTGGTACTCAGTGGGTTGCTTCATCTGTTGTGATTTGATGAGGAAAGCACAGATACTGATGTAGAACACAACTGGCACATCTGAGCCAAATACAAGCGTGCATACCTCCCACCAGGGTGGTTTTGCACTAGTGCGCCTCGCAAAAAGGGTGGGTGAATTGAGCCATTGCAAGGCATATAGGTAGCTGTCAGAGCTGTCAGAATGCTTTTTCTTTTTTTTTTTTTTTTTTTTGAGACAGAGTCTTGCTCTGCTGCCCAGGCTGGAGTACAGTGGCACGGTCTTGGCTCACTGCTAGCTACGCCTCCTGGGTTCACGCCATTCTCCTGCCTCAGCCTCCCAAGTAGCTGGGACTACAGGTGCCCGACAACATGCCTGGCTAATTTTTTGTATTGTTAGTAAAGACGGGGTTTCACCGTGTTAGCCAGGCTGTTCTCGATCTCCTGACCTCGTGATCCACCCGCCTCGGCCTCCCAAAGTGTAGGGATTACAGGCGTGAGCCACCACACCCAGCCCAGAATGCTTTTTCTATAAAAGGTATCCATGTATTTCACCAGTCAGAGATGTACTAGGTAAGGAAAAAACAAAACAAATAAACAAAAAAAATCACCTCAAGTTTTGGAGGCAGGATTGACCTGGGTTTGAATCCCAGATCTGACTCTTTGTCATGTGATAAGCTAGAGTCTCCAAGGCTCAATTTCATCTTCAAAATGGGGATAGACACCACCTTCCTTGGGTTTAAAGGATTAAGAAAGATGATATATGAGATGGTGCTCAAAAAGATCAGTCTATTCCTTTCAACATGCCTGTAAATGTATTTCTAGGGCATGTAAAAGCCAAGTCGCTCACATTCAGAAAGAGTAGGCACTTCTAAAACAAGTCCCGGGCCAGGTGTGCACAGCCATCTGCACAGGCTGTGAACAGAGGCGTGCACAGCTCCTGGGGGTAGCCCTCATGCTCCCGCAGGATCCTCTTTAACAAAGCTGATTCATAAAAGCTGTCACCCATTACGCCTGTGTTCTATAATTTTGTGAGCCTTTTCACATGAAAGACTACCCAAGGGTAGGCCGGGTACGGTGGCTCACGCCTATAATCCCAGCAGTTTGGCAGGCCGAGGCAGGCGGATCACCTGAAGTCGGGAGTTTGAGACCAGCCTGACCAAAATGGAGAAACCTCGTCTCTACCAAAAATACAAAATCAGCCGGACGTGGTAGCGCATGCCTGTATTCCCAACTACTCAGGAAGGCTAATGCAGGAGAATCGCTTGAACCCGGGAGGCGGAGGTTGCGGTGAGCTGAGATCGCGCCATTGTACTCCAGCCTGGGCAACAAGAGCAAAACTCCGTCTCAAAAAAAAAAAAAAGACTACTCAAGGTAGAAGGAATCCCCATTGCAAAAATAAAAATAAAAAAAAAGTGCTCAAATCATCAGAGTCAGGGAGACATACACCAGAACAGAATTCCAGGCTGCGGGCTCACAGCCTCCACACTGCTGACAGTTGGGGCAGACCATTCTTTGCTCAGGGGACAGTCCTGTGCATTATGGCATGTTTAACAGTATCTTACTAGATGCCAGTGGCATCCCACTCTCAGTCGTGCCAACCAAAATGCCTCCACACACAGCCAAGTGTCCCCAGCAGACACAAGCCCCCTGAGTTAAGAGCCCTGGTTAAGAGTGGAATGGTGTAAGGGAATGTTTGTGCTCCTCCAACAGCCAGTCCCAAACATGCGCTAATGTCATTTCATCCTTAACCTTGTGTGGTTGCTGTCATCTCCACATTACAGATGGGGGAAATGAGGCCCAGAGTTCTGACGCAATCATCCAAGGTCTCTTAGAAAATACGTTGTAGAACCAGCATCCAAACCAGTTCTGTTGGGCTAAGTGGGGCCCCTCCGCTATGCAATACTATCCTTTTAAAATAAGAGCTCATTCCCAGACACAGAATCTTTCTAGAATCTTACTGGGTTACTAGCCAACCAATATTTACTAATAAGGTATACATACATGATCTATGGCCTAATTTGAAATTGAAGATGATTACCAAAAATAATTATGCTGGGCTTACAGTAAATAATCTTATGCTATTAGTTTCTGGCAAAACCAGACATACAACTGGCCTGCTGAGCTGACCCGTTCTCTGTCGATGACCATAGGCTATGTCATGGGTATAATGGAGCGGCCCACACACATGGCCTCAGGACAGCTGCTGCCTCCACACCTGCACCCCCTGGGTCCCACTGTGCTAGCAGTTTACACACGTCAGCTCCTGTGATCCTTAAAACAACGCTCTGAGGTAGGAGTAATCACCCCCATTTCACAGAGGAGGAAAGTGAGACTCAGAGAAAGTAGGTAACTTGCTGGTAAGTGGCTGAGCCATGATCAAAGTGTTTTGGTCACCAAAGTTCTTACATGTGAACCCCTGCACTGTACAGCATTGTACATGACGGGGCAGGTTATAGAGAGGGGAGGCTAGGTCCAGTGCGGTAGCTCACGCCTGTAATCCCAGCACTTTGGGAGGCTGAGGCAGGTGGATCACTGTCAGGCCTCTGAGCCCAAGCTAAGCCATCATATCCCCAGTGACCTGCATGTATACATCCAGATGGCCTGAAGCAACTGAAGATCCACAAAAGAAGTGAAAATAGCCTTAACTGATGACATTCCACCATTGTGATTTGTTTCTGCCCCACCCTAACTATCAATGTACTTTGTAATCTCCCCCACACTTAAGAAGGTTCTTTATAATCTCCCCCACCCTTAAGAAGGTTTTTTTGTAATTCTCCCCACCCTTGAGAATGTACTTTGTGAGATCCACCCCCTGCCCCCAAAACATTGCTCTTAACTCCACTGCCTATCCCAAAACCTGTAAGAACTAATGATAATCCCACCACCCTTTGCTGACTCTCTTTTCAGACTCAGCCTGCCTGCACCCAGGTGAAATAAACAGCCTTGTTACTTACACAAAGCCTGTTTGGTCTCTTCACACGGACATGTAAGACAATCACGAGGTCAGGAGTTCAAGACCAGCCTGGCCAAAATTGTGAAACCCCATCTCTACAAAAAATACAAAAATTAGCCTGGCATGGTGGCATGCGCCTGTAATCCCAGCTACTCTAGAGGTTGAAGCAGGAGAATTGCTTAAACCTGGGGGGGCAGAGGCTGTAGTGAGCCGAGATCGCGCCACTGCACTCCAGCCTGGGCGACAGAGCAAGACTCCATCTCGAAAAAAAAAAAAGAGAGAGGGGACCATGTCCTGGCTTCATTCTGCTGGAAACAGTCATGCCAGGCAGGCCCAAATGGTTGAACTTCTTTTTCCTCTCACAGTAAAATCCAAAGCGGGGCAGGTCCCATGGTACGCTCCCCCAGGAGGATCATGGGTTCCTCCTTGGGACTGTAGGACGAAGGAAGCAGCTAGCAAAGGCGTTCGCTCAAAGCTACTGTGTGCAATAGGTATGCTGGAGGGTCAGGCTGGAGCGTGGGGTGGGGTAAGACCCTCTGAAAGTTTACTCTCTGTCACTGTTGCCTCTCAAGAGGTTCTGATGCTACGAGAAAGTGAAGGTGATCAGGAAGGACAAGCTGTAGGTGAAGTATCATTTTCAAAAAGTCATTTAAAACTGCAAACTGCCAAATGCGGCAGCTCATGCCTGTAATTCTAGAACTCTGAGAGGCTGAAGCAGGAGGATTACTTGTGACCAGGAGTTTGAGACCAGCCTGGGCAACATAGCAAGACCTTGTCTCTACAGAAAATAAAAAAAATAGCCAGGTGTGGTGGTGTGCACCTGTAGTCTTAGCTATGCGGGTGGCAGAGGCGGGAGGCTTGCTTCAGGCTGGAGTGAGCTATGATCATGTCACTTACACTCCAGCCTGGGTGAGAGAGCAAGACCCTATCTCAAAAAAAAAAAAAGTGCAAACTGAAAAGTTAATAGCACTTTCTCAAACTGAATTGACACCAACCCAAGAGCGCGAGAGGAGGATGACGACTGGCACCTGTGGAACTGAACTGGAGGCTCTGACTTACGGGGTTTTTGCCCCCTTCTCTATGAATGCTGGTTCCAGCTCAGAAAAGACCAACGCACGCGCTTCTGCAGAGTAGCCAGGAGAGGGCGCACAAGACACGTGATGGCAAAAAAACGAACAAAGTCTGAATTTTCTCTAAAAAGAAAAAAAAAGGGGGGGAGTTCACCCCATATTACTCTTTTTTGGAACAAAGCAACATAATTTTACCAAAATATATGCTGAGCTTTCAATCATCAAAACATATTGATATAATATTTAGTTATGATTTACCAGTATGTATAAAGTCCAGTTCATAAATTGTGGTAGATCTTATAAAGCAAAATAATTAAATCCCTGTTTGGCCACTGAGCTGTGTGGGATTAGGAAAGTTACTTAACCTCTTTGAGTTCTTTTCCTCACTGAAAAAAATGGTAACTATGATAACCACCACAGCCACCACCACACCACAGGTTGGCTGAGTGGGTCAGAATTTGGTCTGAGAAGTAAGTGATGTGTCACACGGGAAGTGCCTGCACCCAGAGGGGCTCAGTCAAAAAGGGTTCCCTTTCCTCATTCCCTTTACTAGATGTTTTTGTAAAAATCTGTAGGAAAGCATTTATTAAAAGCAGCATCTTCTTAACAAACACAATGATGACATTTAATATTCCCATAGGCTTCCTTGGATTTTGGAATCAAACAGAGCTGGGTTCAAGTCCAGGCTTCACATTTCCTAGCTGTGTGATCTCAGGCAAGGTAGCTACCCTCTCTGGGCCTTTGTTTCCCCCTGTACTATGAAGCCAATTCCCCTGAGTTTCCTGAGGTGGCTGTGAGGATGAAATGAGGTGGCACGCAGCAGGGTTGTCATTAGGAGCATCCGCTTATGGCCGTTCTGGCCACAAGACAAGCAGGAGCTGCTGGGAACAGGGCAAGCAGTGGGTACCGGCAAGGAGCGGCATGACGGCCAGCTGGATGGAGAAAGCGCTCTGCTTCCTGGGGCCTGTCAGCGTGGGGTCTGCCTCTTCTTCTGCCAGGGGCTTCTTATGTCTCCTCTGGATTTTCCTTCTTCCCTCTGAATCTTTCCCTTTAACTGTGAAATCAAACAAAGGAGATGAGCATTAAGAGGAGACTGTATCTGAGCTGCCATATGTGGACCTGAACATGCTACAGAGATTCAGGAAGGTTCTGGAAGCTCCTAGAAGGCAGGGGTTATTCTTTGTGTGACTGCCTCTTCCCAGCAACCAGAAGTGGTGGCTAAATATAGATGGCAGGCCCGTTGCCAGTTATATGTAGTAATAGGGTGAGGGCCTCTCATTCCCCGCCTCTGCTAACTGAGAACACAGACAGAAGAGAACTAAGGTCATCATGACAATGATGCCATAACACACTCAAGGCTCTCTTCCAGTCAGCTCTTAATGTCAGTGCAGGGTGGACGGTGGGCTTTTTTAAGAGACCCTGCTCTTAAACAAACAAAAGCCCACAGTCTGAGCCTCAGTAACCTCACCTGTTATATGAGGGCAACAGCACCTGCCTTCTAGGACACTGAGAAGAGGAAATTAGCAACGCTACATAAAACACTCAGCTCAGTGCCAAGCTCAGACCAGAAGGAAAAGGAGATGAGAACACATATAAATCTACGGTCATCAAGACAAGACCAATGGGACAGACGAGAAAGCCCAGGAACAGACCCAAACACATAGGGGAACCTAACAGATGCCAGAAGTGGCATTTCAAATCAGTGGATAAGTTATATTGATTATCCATATGGGAGCAAATTAAGTTATTGAATTACTTCACGGCATATACAAAATGAATTCCAGACTAAAAGTATAAAACAAAAACTTTAAAATCATCAGAAGAATATCTAGGAGACTATACTGACATCTGGATGAAGGATTTCTTTCTTTTTTTTTTTTGAGACGGAGTTTCACTCTGTTGCCCAGGCTGGAGTGCAATGGCACGATCGAGGCTCATTGCAACCTCTGCCTCCTGGGTTCAAGTGATTCTCCTGCCTTAGACTCCTGAGTAGCTGGGACCACAGGCGCGTGCTACCACGCCCAGCTAATTTTTGTATTTTTAATAGAGATGAGGTTTCACCATGTTGGCCAGGCTGGTCTCGAACTCCTGACCTCAGGTGATCCATCTGCCTTGGCCTCCCAAAGTGCTAGGATTACAGGTGTAAGCCACCGCACCTGGCCTCTTTTTTCTTTTTTTTAAGAGGTGATGTTTCGCCCGAGTGTGGTAACTCACTCCTGTAAACCTGGCACTTTGGGAGGCTGAGGCAAGTGGATCGCCTGAGGTCAGGATTTTGATACTAGCCTGGCCAACATGGTGAAACCCCATCTTTACTAAAAATAAAAAATTAGCCAGGTGTGGTGGCGGGCATCTGTAATCCCAGCTACTTGGGAGGCTGAGGCAGGAGAATCACTTGAACCTGGGAGGCAGAGGTAGCAGTGAGCCCAGATCGCGCCATTGTACTCCAGCCTGGGCTACAAGAGCGAAACTCAGTCCTTGAAAAAAAAAAAAAAAAGATAGAGAGATGATGTTTCACTATGTTGCCAAAGCTGGCTATGAACTCTGGGCTCAAGTGATCATCCCCTCAGTCTTGCAAGTAGCTTGGACTACAGGCGTGCACCAGCATACCCAGCTGAGGAAGGATTTCTTAAACATTCGTGAAAGTATAAACTAGAGAGGAATAGTTAAATAATTGGTGTACAAAACAAGATAACATAAATCAAGTCAAACGATAAGTTATATACCCCTGTCTGTGAGGATTACCATGCATATAACTGGCAATGTACAATTATCCAGATGTAAACACAAAGCTGGCAGATCAGTAAGACAATTTTTTTTAAACTAACAGAAAAATAAGCAAAGATATGAATAGGAAAATCACAGAAGAGTGTGACCAAATAAGCCTATGCAATGCTGCTCAGCCTCACCAGGAGTCAGGAACTAAACCATGCCCGTGCAGACCGGGGAGAACAGCAATCCTCAGGACTGCAAGCAGGGGGGAACAGATGCCGCCTGAGGCCGGGCCCGGTGGCTCACACCTGTAATCCCAGCACTTTGGGAGGCCGAGGCAAGCGGATCACCTGAGGTCGGGAGTTCAAGACCAGCCTGGCCAACATGGAGAAACTCTGTCTCTACTAAAAATACAAAACTAGCCAGGCATGGTAGCACATGCCTGTAACCCCAGCTACTCGGGAGGCTGAGGTAGGAGAATTGCTTGAACCCGGGAGATGGAGGTTGTGGTGAGCCGAGATCGCGCCATTGTACTCCAGCCTAGGCAATAAGAGCAGAACTCTGTCTCAAGAAAAAAAAAAAAAAAAGAGAGAGATGCTGCCTGGAGAGTAAACCACTAGCATCTAGCAATGGGGTCGAGGCTCACAGCCTGTGTCCCAGGGGTCCCACTGGGCCAATGCCGTGGACTCACATGTGTGCCCAGATGCTCACCATGGCAGTGCTGGAGAGCAAGAAATTGGAGACAACTCAGATCCCTGGCACGGGGACTGTGTGCATGCAGGACGGTCCACCCATAACACATGGCAAAATGCTAACACCTAAATTGTGAATATGTAGTTGTTGCATTTTCATGTGAACTTTCCTATCTTTATTTCAAAATAAAAAGAACGGTTTAAAAATCTCATTAAATGCTTAAAGCACATTTTTAAAAAGAGTGACACTTTTAATCCGGAAAAGACAAAAGTCAGGAGTTGAGAGGCATTCACATGTGAAAGTGTGACTTAGTCTTTGTGGACCGTAGGAATAGGAATGAGTTTTCTTCAACTGTGTCTCCAGCACCCAGCAGAGAGCCTGGCTCAAGCAGTCACTTCCCTCTGCAGCCATAGACTGTTGCACTAGAACCAGGCCAGTGTCAGGAAACAACAGATTAACTGATGGAGAGATGAGGAAATGATCTGTAGCAATTATAGCTAAAAGGACGTGAAATGGCCCATCCCAGGAGGCAGCAGTATACCCACTGGCTCTAGATTTTCCCACCTCACACTGGAAACACAACTTCTTAATGAGAAACTGGTGAGGGGATCTAAGCTGAGAATGAGGAAGTTGATTTAGTGGCTTCTGAGGGTTCTGCTCTCTTGACAGTATGTGAATAAGATTACATGCTTCTGCATGAACGGATCCCATAACACAGGATGCTGTGTTCTTCATTCCACCATAAGAGTGAACACTAGGCCAGGCACAGTGGCTCACGCTTGTAATCCCAGCACTTTGGGAGGCTGAGGCAGGCAGATCATTTGAGATCAGGAGTTCAAGACCAGCCTGACCAACATGGTGAAACCCTGTCTCTACTAAAAATACAAAAATTAGCTGGGTGTGGTGGTGGACGCCTGTAATCCCAGCTACTCAGGAGGCTGAGGCAGCAGAATTGTTTGAACCCAAGAGGCAGAGGTTGCAGTGAGCCAAGATTGCGCCATTGCACTCCAGCCTGGGCAATAGAGTGAGGCTCCCTCTCAGAAAAAAAAAGAAGAGAAGGCCAGGCGTGGTGGCTCACGCCTGTAATCCAGCACTTTGGGAGGCCGAGGCGGGCAGATCACGAGGTCAGGAGATCGAGACGATCCTGGCTAACATGGTGAAACCCCGTCTCTAATAAAAACACAAAAAATTAGCCAGGCGTGGTGGCGGGCGCCTGTAGTCCCAGCTATTCGGGAGGCTGAGGCAGAAGAATGGCGTGAACCCGGGAGACAGAGCTTGCAGTGAGCCGAGACTGCACAACTGCACTCCAGCCTGGGTGACAGAGTGAGACTCCATCTCAAAAAAAATAAAATAAAATAAAATAAAAAGAGTAAATACTTTATCTTTCAAGGAGAGTCTTTCCATAAACATGATTCTTTTATGCCTCCCCAACATACCACGTACCTACCCATACCACAACATCTATCACAAAGAATTGTAATTCTTTATTTGAAAGTCTCCATTAGATATTAGAGATTTTCATGTTCCCCATATGCACAACACCATGGGTCAAAAATATTGATGGAATGGAATGGATGATGAGGGTGAGTGAATGACATGAGAAGAAATGGAACAAATGGATGGATGGATGGAGATGGATGGATAGGGATGGATGGATGGATGGATGGATGGATGGATGGATGGATGGATGAATAAATGGAATGGGTGGGTGGACAGATGAATGGATGGGGATGGATGAATGAATGGATGGATGAATAGAGATGGATGGATAGATGGGGATGGACAGATAGATGAATGGATGGATGGGGATGGGTGGATGGATGGATAGACGGTAAGGATGGGATGCATAAGTTGAAAATGTATACAGTACTCTTACTTTTGAGAAACATTTTGTCAAATATGCAAGAATCTCATTGAAGTATCCTGAATTTAAAATATTTCATAATTATTCCAAGTCTAGTTATATTATAAAATTCCCAAATCCTATCCTAACTTACTTTGAGACCTTTGTCTGTCTAATATGTTTGTTAAGCTGCTAAGTGATTCACTCTCAATTAATTCCTTGATCTCCATCATGCTTGCTCCTGCCAAAGAAATGGTTGGTGTTCTTGAAACACTCCATCTAGAAAATTCACAAAGAGAAAAATTAATGAAGGTGAAAAAAATCAGGGGCCAGATCTGAGAATCTATTTACTGATGGACTAAATGAGAGCAGATTTTTTAAAAACCTCATAGTGCATTCCTCTAACCCAGTGCTTCTCAGTTTTCAATGTGCCTGTGAGTTACCTAGGGATTTTGTCAAATAAAATGTAGACTCTGGTTCAGTAAACCAGGGGCAGGCCTGAAATTCTCCATTTCTACCAAATCCCCCCTAATGCTGACACACTTGGTCTGCATTCAAGATACTAACAAACTCAAAAATATGATGGAAAATAATATATTTTAATAAAAATAACCCAAACTATAAAACATCTAAGAATTCACTTATAGGAATTATCCACAACATTTATAGGCAGAACAAATGAACTCTATTAAAGGACATAAGGGGGGTCTGAACTGAGTGAAAGGATATATACCATGATCATGGATGAGACACCTTAACAATGTAAAAATGTCAATTCTTCCCAAATTAATCTATATATTCAATACAAAAACAATTTTTAAAAATCAAAATTGCTTAAAGACATGTTCTCTCGGTTCTTCTCATTCCATTTCCCAAAACCACCAGCTGAGCTTCCATTCTCTCCCTTGTCCCCATAGCATCCAAGGAGTCTCCTTCTCCAGACCCTTCTTGGGCTACCAGAGACCCTAAGAGCAACTGACCTCATGCAGGATGGCTGGAGACTCAGGAGTCTGAAGGTGTGGGTTGGAAACCTGGCTTAACCAGGAATTCTGGTTTATCACTTTGTGTAAACCATTTAATTACTCAGTCACCTTTTTAGGAAACGGAGATAGTCATACCACCTCACAAAGTTATCATTATGAGGATCAAATGAGATAAAATAATGCATGCAGAAAGCTTGATGTGCAACATGTACTCATAAACACAAGCTACCCCTTCCCTGTTAGCTTAAGTTAGCCTGGATTGCATGAGATCCAGTTTAACTGGATTTACTAAAAAACCTACCACGACTCATAGTAGGGCTAGTACAAGAGGGGCTCCACTCCCACCACCCAAAATATCGTTCAATCCTTACTGAATCGTGGAAGAATCGTCCATTTTGAGGGACTTCTCATATTCCTCACTGTTCTTGGAAGAAGTTTCGGGCTCTGCTTGGTGAGAACCTGAAAACAGTAGCAAATATTTCCAAGCTTTTTGTTACATGCTAGTTCACTAAGAAATGAGGGCCCCTGACCCATTTCTGTAATGTCAGTCTCTATGCAGAAGGCCTGGGATGTGGTAAGGCCTGGGATATTGTTAATAACTGAGTGAATGAATAAACATACAGACTAATATTTGATTATTTGGATAAATGTAGTCAAGAGGAGACCTCCAGTTCCTTACATAACAGCCCACAGAGAAAAAGAAGAAAGTCTATTATCTATTAAATTGTCCATTTCAGTCCTGTTTACATTAGAGAATAATGAAAACAGTCCTAAGTTCCCAACCATAGGGAATGGTTAGCAAATTACAGTCTGCCCAGCAGATGAAATACTACATAGCCACCACACTACAATGTTACATAGATTGCTCCTCGTGATGAAATTGTTTTCCCTGTTTGTTTTATACTTTTATCTATTCACTGAATTTTCTAAAAACCACATATACAACTTCCACAGTCAGAAAAGTTTTTCGGACCAGGTGCAGTGGCTCACACCTATAATCTCAGCACTTTGGGGGCTGAGGTGGGTGGATCACTTGAGGTCAGGAGTTCAAGACCAGCCTGGCCAACATGGTGAAACCCCGTCTCTACTAAAAATACAAAAATTAGCTGGGTGTGGTAGTGGGCGCCTGTAATCCCAGCTACTCGGGAGGCTGAGGCAGGAGAATCACTTGAACCCAGGAGGCAGAGGTTGCAGTGAGCCAAGATCGTGCCATTGCATTCCAGCCTGGGGGACAAGAGCAGAACTCAGAATCAGTAACAAAAAGTAAGCCATGCAGCAAGAGCAATACAGCCGTGTGGCAGGGTGAGCCCCGCCCGCCTCTGCTGCCAATACACAGGAGGGACGCCCATGCAGATGCATTGCTCCAGCACACCACACAACCGCTTTCCCTGCCATCGCCTTGCACTCAGCTTGTCCACAAAGGCCTTCTCCGCTCACCTTGCAAAGACTTTGGGTGTTTTTCTGTTTTTTCTTGTTTTCCTGGCGGATGTTCCTGGTTCGACTCTTCTCTGACAATGTTGGTATTCTCAATGCCCTGTTCAGATAATTTTCTCTGATTTAAAACCAAATGTCTCACTTCTAGAATGCAGGAGAAGAAAGGATCATTGACTCAATCAATCCAAAATATTTATTGAATTAACTACTATGGGCATTTCTTGGAGACACTGGGCGTTCGGTTTCAGACTACACTAAAGTAAATATCACAATAAAGTGAGTCATACATTATCTTCCCAGTGCATATAAATTATGTTTATATCATACTGTAGTCTATTAAGTGTGCAAAAGCATTATATCTAAAAAAAAATGTACATACCTAAGTTTAAAAAATACCTTATTGGGGCCAGATACGGTGGCTCATGTCCGTAATCCCAGCACTTTGAGAGGCTGAATTGGGAGGACTGCCTGAGCCCAGGAGTTTGAAGCTGCAGGGAGCTGTGACTGCACCACTGCAGTCCAGCCTGGCTAAGAGATAGAGACTCGTACTGGTACCAAAACAGAGAAATAGACCAATGGAACAGAACAGAGCCCTCAGAAATAATACCACACATCTACAACTATCTGATCTTTGACAAACCTGACAAAAACAAGAAATGGGGAAAGGATTCCCTATTCAACAAATGGTGCTGGGAAAACTGGCTAGCCATATGTAGAAAGCTGAAACTGGATCCCTTCCTTACACCTTATACAAAAATTAATTCAAGATGGATTGAAGACTTAAATGTTACACCTAAAACCATAAAAACCCTAGAAGAAAACCTAGGCATTACCATTCAGGACATAGGCATGGGCAAGGACTTCATGTCTAAAACACCAAAAACAATGGTAACAAAAGCCAAAATTGACAAATGGGATCTAATTAAACTAAAGAGCTTCTGCACAGCAAAAGAAACTACCATCAGAGTGAACAGGCAACAGAATGGGAGAAAATTTTTGCAACCTACTCATCTGATAAAGGGCTAACATCCAGAATCTACAAAGAACTCAAACAAATTTACAAGAAAAAAACAACCCCATCAACAAGTGGGCAAAGGATATGAACAGACACTTCTCAAAAGAAGACATCTATGCAGCCAACAGACACATGAAAAATGCTCATCATCACTGGCCATCAGAGAATGCAAGTCAAAACCACAATGAAATACCATCTCACACCAGTTAGAATGGCGATCATTAAAAAGTCAGGAAACAACAGGTGTGGGAGAGGATGTGGAGAAATAGGAACACTTTTACACTGTTGGTGGGACTGTAAACTAGTTCAACCACTGTGGAAGACAGTGTGGCGATTCCTCAGGGATCTAGAACTAGAAATACCATTTGACCCAGCCATCCCATTACTGGGTATATACCCAAAGGATTATAAATCATGCTGCTGTAAAGACACATGCACACGTATGTTTATTGCAGCACTATTCACAATAGCAAAGACTTGAAACCAACCCAAATGTCCAACAATGATAGGCTGGATTAAGAAAATGTGGCACATATACACCATGGAATACTATGCAGCCATAAAAAAGGATGAGTTCATGTCCTTTGTAGGGACATGGATGAAGCTGGAAACCATCATTCTCAGCAAACTATCGGAAGGACAAAAAAACCAAACACCGCATGTTCTCACTCATAGGTGGGAATTGAACAGTGAGAACACTTGGACCCAAGAAGGGGAACATCACACACCGGGGCCTGTTGTGGGGTGGGGGGAAGGGGGACGGATAGCATTAGGAGATATACCTAATGTAAATGACGAGTTAATGGGGGTAGCACACCAACATGGCACATGTATACATATGTAACAAACCTGCACGTTGTGCACATGTACCCTAAAACTTAAAGTATAATAATATATATATATATATATATATATAAAAGAAAAAAGAGAAAAAGAAAGAAAGGAGGGAAGGAAGAAAGGAAGAAAAGGAGCGAGGGAAGAGAGAAAGGAAGAAAAAGAGAAAAAAATACTTCATTGCTAAAATATATTACAGGCTGGGCACAGTGGCTCATGCCTGTAATACCAGCACTGTGGGAGACTGAGATAAGAGGATCGCTTGAGGCCAGGAGTTCAAGACAAGCCTAGGCAACATGGTGAAACCTTGTTTCTACAAAAAGAAAAATAGCTGGGCATGGTGGCATGCACCTGTAATTCCAGCTACTCGGGAGGCTGAGGTGGGAGGGCTGCTTGATTCTAGGAGGTCAAGGCTACAGTGAGCCATGATCACACCACTGCACTGCTGCCTGGGGGACAGAGCAAGACCCTGTCTCAAAAAAAAAAAAAAAAAAAAAGCTAACACTCATCTGAGCCTGTGGGTAATCATCTTTCTGCTGTGGGGGTCTTACCTCAATGTTGACAGCTGCTCAGTGATCAGGATGGTGGGTGCTGAGGGCTGGGTTCACCTCACCATGAATTTGCCTGCATTGATCAACTCTTCCTTTCATGAACGGTTTCTCTGTAGCATGTGAAGCTGTTTCATAGCATTTTGCCCACAGTAGAACGGCTTTCAAAATTGGAGTCAATCCTCTCAAACCCTGCCACTTCTTTATCAACTAAATGTGTGTACTATTCTAAATCCTATTGTCATTTCAACAATGTTCACAGCCTCTTCACGAGGAGTAGATTCCATCTCATCTCAAGAAATCACTTTCTTTACTCATCCCTAAGAAGCAACTCCTCATCTGTTCAAATTTGATCATGAGACTGCAGCAATTCAGTCACATCCTCAGGCTCCACTTCTAATTCTAGTTCTCTTGCTGTTTCCACCACATCTGCAGTGACTTGCTCCACTGAAGACTTGAACCCTTCAGAGTCAGCCATGAGGGCTGGAATCCACTTCTTCCAAACTCCTGTTAATGTTGATGTTTTTACCTCCTCCCATGAATCACAGATGTTTTAAAGACATCTAGAATGGGGAATCCTTTCCGGAAGCTTTTTCTTTCTTTTTTTTTTTTTTTCGAGGCAGAGTCTCGCTCCGTCACCCAGGCTGGAGTGCAGTGGTGCGATCTCGGCTCATTGCAAGCTCTGCCTCCCAGGTTCACGCCATTCTCCTGCCTCAGCCTCCCAAGGAGCTGGGACTACAGGCGCCCACCACCACACCCGGCTAATTTTTTGTATTTTGAGTAGAGACAGGGTTTCACCACGTTAGTTAGGATCGTCTTGATCTCCTGACCTCGTGATCTGTCCCCCTCGGCCTCCCAAAGTGCTGAGATTACAGGAGTGAGCCACCGCGCCTGGCCTTGTTTTGTTTTTGAGATGCAGTCTTGCTCTGTCACCCAGGCTGGAGTGCAATGGCACAATTTCGGCTCACTGCAACCTCCACCTCCCAGGTTCAAGCAATTCTCTAGCCTCAGCCTCCCAAGTAGCTGGGATTACAGGCACCTGCCACCACACCCAGATATTTTTTGTATTTTTAGTGGAGATAGGGTTTCACTATGTTGGCCACACTGGTCTCAAATTCCTGACCTCAGGTGATCCACCCACCTCGGCCTCCCAAAGTGCTGGGATTACAGGCTTGAGCCACCGCACCTGGACTTCTAGAAGGTTTTCAATTTACTTGGCCCATATCAATCAAAGGAATCACTATCTATGGAAGCTATGGCCTTATGAAATGTGGCTTTTAGATAATAAGATTTGAAAGTCAAAATTACTCCTTGATCCACAGGCTGTAGCATGGATGTTGAAACCAAAGTCACCTCTTTGTACACCTCCATCAGAGACCTCAGGCAACCAGGTGCATTATCAATGAGCAGTCATATTAGAAAGGAGTCTTTTTCTAAGCGGTAGGTGTCAACAGTTGGCTTTAAATATTCAGTAAACCATGCTATAAACAGATGTGCTGTCATCCAGGCTTTGTTGTTCCATTTCTAGAGCACAGGCAGACTTAGCATCATTCTTAATAGGCTCTAGGGTTCTGGGAATGGTCAATGAGCATTGGCCTCTACTTTAAGTCACCAGCTGCACTGTCCCTATCAAGAGAGTCAGCCTGTCCTTTGAAGCCAGGCATTGACTTCTCTCTAGCTATGAAAGTCCTAGATGGCAGCTTCTTCCAGTAGAAGGCTGTCTCATCTACTCTGAAAATCTGTGGCTTAGTGTAGTTGCCTTCATCAGTGATCTTAGCTAGATCTCCTAAACAACTTGCTGCAGCTTCTCCGTCAGCACTTGCTGTTTCACCTTACACTTTTATGTTATGGAGATGGCTCCTTTCCTTAAACCTCATAAACCAATCTCTGCTAGCTTCAAAGTTGTCTTTTGCAGCGTCCTCACCTCTCTCAGCCTTCATGGAACTGAAGAAAGTTAGGGCTTTGCTCTGGATTAGGCTTCAGTTAATATTGTGGCTGGTGTGATCTTCTATCCAGACCATTAAAACTTCCTCTGTATCAGCTATAAGGCTGTTTCACTTTCTTATCATTCCTGTGTTCACTGGAGTAGCACGTTTAACTTCCTTCTAGAACTTTTCCCTTACATCCTCAACTTGGCTAACTGTTCAGCACAAGAGGCCTAGCTTTCATCCTATCTAGGCTTTTCGATGTGGCTTCCTCACTAAGCTTAATCATTTCAAGCTTTTGACTTAAAGGGAGAGATGTGCAAGGCCTCCTTTCACTTGAACACTTTAGAGGCCATTGTAAGGTTATTAATTGACCTAATTTTGGTATTGTGTATCTCAGGGAATAGGGAGGCCTGAAGAGAGGGAGAGACAGGAGAATGGCCGATCACTGGAACCCTGTGTTCTGGAGTCAGAACACACACAGCATTTATCAGTTAAGTTCACCGTTTCACACACATGCAGTTCGTGGCACCTCCAAACATTTACAATAGTGACTTCAAAGATCACAGATCGCAGATCACCAAAGCAGATATAATAAGTGTGAAAAATCCGAGAATTATCAAAATGTGACAGAGACACAAAGTGAGCACACGAGGTTGAAAAAACGGCGTCAATAGACTTGTTCAACACAGGGTTGCCACAAACCTCCAATTTGGAAAACGCATGATCTCTGTGAAGCCCAATAAGGCAAAGCATTATCAACCAAGGTATGCCTATAAGTGACACTCACTTTCCTCTGAAGAAGATGAAGCAATGGATAAGGCCCCTGTTCTCCTGGAGCTGCTGCCTCCAAATTCCAGGAAACTCAAAACAATAAGCACACATGTCTGGGATAGGCACACATGTTGAGGTTCTCAGACCTCAGCAGGCCAGCAGCCTCCTCCAAATGCGAGCATTGAGCCTGTGACATGTGCTGCCCCACTCGCTCCTAGAATTCCACTTTAAGGAGGGCAGTAACATTCCCCATCTCACAGATGAAGATCTGACACTGAAGTAACTTTCCTGTGGTCAGAGAGGTAGTCCTTAACAAAGCCAGGACTGCACTCAGAGTGCCTTGTCCCCAGCCAGAGTGTCAGCTCCTCAATGCCTTTCATTTCTATCCCTAGAGGCCTCGCATGCACATGGCAGCCACCAAGAATGGGTAGGATAATGAATGAATGGAGGAAGTGAATTGACAAATGGAGATGAAAGACGCTACAAGAAAGAAGTGGAAAAAAGGAGGTGAAATTGGATTCAGTGTTGAATTATAGATAACATTTTTGGGGAAAGAGATGAGGCTGGGAGCCGTGGAAGAATGCCCAGCTGGCTGGAGGCAGGCCTTACCACAAGGGAGAGCCACGTGTCTGCAGGGACCAGGAGGTGGGCTGTGGTGTGAAGGGGCAGTGGCAGTGAGGAGGAGGCTTGGAAACAGATTGTAAAATGCCTTCAAGGCCAGAACCACTTGGTTCTCTAAAGGCCCTGGGGCAGCCATGAACAGCTGCAGAGCAAGGCAGCACCAGGGCCGAAGGGGAGACAGAGAAAGGCCAGGCCGGCAGGAGAGAGGAGGGGGAACAAACCTGAGTGCAGAGAAAGCCAGAGGGCAGGAGGGAAAAGACAGCTGGGCAGAGAGCTCTCAAGAACAACAGGCGGGGGACACCCACTGGGCACCAGGTGGGGGTGCCCAGAATTGAGAGCATAGGAGTAATTAAATATGACTGGGGGGCTTTGAAAAGAATGCTGTCTTCATCCAGTCCTGAGAAATCGAGCAGACGAGCAGATTAAAGGGAAAAGAAATGCTGAGTGTGATGGTTAATACTAAGTGTCAACTTGATTGAAGGAATGCAAAGTATTGATCCTGCTTGTATCTGTGAGGGTGTTGCCAAAAGAGATTAACATTTGAGTCAGTGGACTGGGAGAGGCAGACCCACCCTCAAGCTGGGTGGGCACCATCTAATCAGCTGCCAGCATGGCTAGAAGAAAGCAGGCAGAAGAACATGGAAGGAGCTGACTTCCTGAGTCTTCCGGCCTTCATCTTTCTCCCATGCTGGAGGCTTCCTGCCCTCAAACATCAGCCTCCAAGTTCTTCAACTTTTAGACTCTTGGACCTACACCAGTGGTTTGCCGGGGGGCTCTCAGGCCTTCGGTCACAGACTGAAGGCTGCACTGTCGGCCTCCCTATTTTTGAGGTTTTGGGACTCGGACTGGCTTCCTTGCTCCTCAGCTTGCAGACGGCCTATTGTGGGACTTCACCTTGTGATCATGTGAGTCAATACTCCTTAATAAACTCCCTTTCATATATACATCTATCCTATTAGCCCTTCCCTCTAGAGAACACTGACTAGTACACTGAGTCAGATTAGGATGTTTCTTCAAGACCAGCAGGCTGAATGCTAACAAGTTCTGGCATGTGACCTACCAGGCATCCAAGAAACATCCTATCCCCTTCATAACATGAGGCAGAACTCTTACAGCATTTCTGCACTCCCAAGAAATAAGAGTTTCTGTAAGAAATCTTTTTACGTGAGAAAAGGCAGGACTTAAGACAACATGTACACTAGATTCACAGGAAAAATGTTAACAATGGCTATCTCTGGACAGGAATCATGTGGTTTTAATTTTTTCTCTTTTTTGCTAGGTGATATCTAAATTGTTTTACAAAGTGAATTCGCACTGCTTTTTTAATGGGGAAAAACTTATTTAAATAAGAAGCAGTGATGCTAAGCTTGGGACAGGGTTCAGGAAGGAGCAGGTGCTGTCATTGCAACGTTTCACAGTGCTAGGCATAGTGGCTCACGCTTGTGATCCCAGCACTTTAGGAGGCCAAGGCAGGAGGATTGCTTAAGACCAGGAGTTAGAGACCAGCTTGGGTAACACAGTAAGACTCAATCTCTATAAAAGATAAAATTTAAAAAGTAGCCATGTGTGGTGGCACATACCCGTGGTCCCAGCTACTCAGGAGGCTGAGGCAGGAGGAATCACTTGAGCCCAGGAGCTCAAAGCTGCAGTAAGCTATGATCACATCACTGTACTCCAACCTGGGCAACAGAGTGAGACTGTCTCAATCAATCAATAAGAATACTCATAGCAGGAGGCCCTAGAACACCTTTTCTCCTTCCTTTTCTGGCCACCAAATTCCCTTTACCCACCCAAACTTTGCTACTATGGCCCTTCCTCCAGGAATCCTTCCTGATACTCCCACCTCAACACCCTACTCCAGTGAAAGCCCACTGCAGGGCAGATACTAACCAGAAAGTCTGGCTCAGCAGATCCAAACAGGCCTGGAATCTGCATGTAAGCATCTGATGCAGGTGGTCCACAACCCACACTTTGAGGACATGGTTCTTTCCTATAGTCCAGGTGAGAAAAATTACCTTGAATCCCATTTTCTCACACTGGAAGCCTACGACTTGTAGTGTAGGTATATATATCAGTGTTTCTCAGCCAGGGGTGATTTTGACCCCCAGGGAACATCTGGCAATGTCTGAAGAAATCTGATTGTCACAACTGGCAGGCTACTACTGGCAGCTAGTGGGTAGAGGCCAGAAATGCTGCAAAACACCCAGCAATCCACAGAACAGCCCCCACAGCGAGGAATTATCTGGCCCAAAATGTCAATAGTGCCAAGAGTAAGAAACCCTGGACATAAATGAAAGACTGAAAGTGGGAAGTTCCAAGCCTCCAAGGTCAGAAAGGCTCCTTGAGAAGGTGGGCTGGAAAATCAGAGAAAAGCAAGGCTTTCCAGCCACACAAAATTGAGGATAATTATACTCGTCTGGAAGGTGCTGACAACGATAATAGTACCATATATCATTGATTCTAATATGTACATCTGTTTTACTTTTTTTTTTTTTTTTTGAGATAAGGTCTTGCTCCATCACCCAGGCTGGTGTGCAGTCGTACAAACACAGCTTACTGAAGCCTCGACCTCCCAGGATTAAGCAATCCTCCCACTTCAGCCTTCCAAGAAGCTAGAATTACAGGAGCACGTCACCATGCTGGGCTGATTTTTAAATTTTTTATAGAGACAGGGTCTTGCCACGTTACCCAGGCTGGTCTCAAACTCCTGCCTCAGCCTCCCAAAGTGCTGGGATTACAGGCATGAGCCACTGTACCTGCCTTTTTTTAATTTTTAACATCTCTAAGCATCAGGATGCATCTTACAATTAATGCCATGTCATAGTTTAGTTAGTAGCATTTAATTACAGTTCTTAAATTTTCTATAGACAATGCACACCCTCATTGCTTGCACCCAGGTAGACCACGCCGGTCAACCTGCCTCCAGTATTCCAGTGAAGCAGGTACTAGTTATTTTTCCTTTTTTGCAGATGAGAAACGTATGTTCAGGAACATGCCCAAGTCACCAACAAGTACAAGATGGAGACAGGACTGAATTCTACCGTCTGGCTTCAAAGCCTGCATCTTTCCATCCCTCCTGGCTCTCTCCTTCAAAATGAGTTCAAAAGACTTTCTGACATTGGCTGGGCACAGTAGCTCACACCTGTGTTCCCAGTACTTCGAGAGGCCAAGGTGGGTGGATCACCTGAGGTCAGGAGTTCGAGACCAGCCTGGCCAACATGGCGAAACCCCGTCTCTACTAAAAACACAAAAATTAGCCGGGCGTGGTGGCGCATGCCTGGAGTCCCAGCTGCTCAGGAGGCTGAGGCAGGAGAATGGCTTGAACTGGGGAGGCAGAGGTTGCAGTGAGCCGAGATCGCACCACCGCACTCCAGCCTGGGCGACAGAGCGAGACTCCATCTCGAAAGAAAAAAAAAGACTTTCTGATATTGATATATTTACACAAATGAGTCTGGAAGAGTCTACATGAGACTCTTAAGACAATTGGCTTGGGGTGGTGGGATTTTTAAGTTTTCTCTTTTGTTCCTTGGTATCCTCTAAGTTTGTTTTTTGTTTTTTTTTTTCAGTGAACATATAATACTAGTCCAGACCGGTGATGGGTGCCTGTGTCAGAGCTGCCCTGGAATGAAAGGGCCCAAAAGGTGGAGTTTCAAGAACACTGCCCACCACACCCTCACTCCCCTATGTGGCGCTTCCTGTCACCACAGCATGGCCTGGTGGGATGCCCTGCAACATCTGCAAAACCCGTGTGTGCACATGCCAATTAGATGAAGGAAACCAGGAGACACTGGCTTTTATGCTGTTACTAGTGAGTAAGCCCCAGGCTTCCAGAACCATTTCAAATAAAACCAGAGCACCTGACTTATGAAAAGCTCCCACGTCGTCTGTGAAGCCGGCAGTCTTTAATCGGTAATATCTGACTTTTCTTGACATCTTGTCTTTAGTGTTCCAGAGCCTCAAGGTGATTTTGTGGAAATTTATTTTCTTTAATAATTCCTTTGTCACAGTGATATTAAAAGTCTGCTCCCACGACACCCAGGCTTTGTCACCTTCGTGCCACGGCTTCACAGTCTGTGTAAAACAACATTCAGAGATGTCAACTGGGGAAAGATGTGCAAAGGCCGTGGCGAACAGAGCAAGCCCCAGCCCCAGCCTGGCCCTCAGCAGCAGCGCTGCCTGACTTCAGTGCCTGGTCACTCTCCAGGCTCTGAGCTCAGGGAAAATGGGGCGTTGTGTGCTGGGCCCTGTCAGACTTTTGAATTCCTTAGGAAGAATAAAATCAAAGTAATTACCTGCAAATAGCATCCTCCTCGATTGCTTCTAAGCAATGACCCAGGGCCAAACCACTGGCAGGAGTGTGTGTGTGCAGGTAGTGTGTACACACACATGCACACACACGTCTGCACACATGCACACACACAGAAAAAAGAAATCTCAAGAACTACAAAAACTTTTGAAACATTCTGGAAATTACTGGGTAAAATATCTAAATAAAAAATAGGCCAGGTGCGGTGGCTCACGCCTGTAATCCCAGCACTTAGGGAGGCCAACGCGGGAGGATGACTTGAGGTCAGGAGTTCGAAGCCAGCCTGGCCAACATAGTGAAATCCCGTCTCTACTAAAAGTACAAAAACTAGCTGGGCATGGTGGCTCGTGCTTGTAATTCCAGCTACTCAGGTGGCTGAGGCATGAGAATTGCTTGAACCGGGAGGCAGAGGTTGTGGTGAGCAAAGATTGCACCACTCTACTCCAGCCTGGGCAACAGAGCAAGACTCTGACTCAACAAAAAAAAAAAAGTCAGTAATTGGAATGATCAGGCCAGTGCAGATTCCCACTCAGGAGGTGGGGCCCGGGATCCTCCAATTCTAGCAAGCTGGAGGTGGAGCTGATGTTGCATATCCATGGAGCAGCACACTTTTCGTGATGAGCATCAGACCATACACAAGGCCACACACACTCACACACGCACCTTTACTCCTGACTCCAGGAATACTTTGGCCACCATTGGAAATAGCAATATGTCAACTTTTTTAGGTTCTTCATCGTCCGGCAGAAGGAAATACTCAATGTGGTAAAAACGACGCATCTTTGTAACAGAACTGTCTGTTTTAGGGTGTTTCTTATATTTTTCAATCAAACTTGCATATTTTCCCTTCTGACCTTGAAGATACAGATTGAAAAAGTCTCGTTTTAACCTCATGTGGAAAAGCAGACCCGTCTCCCCAGTTCCCTGGAGCTTGATGTTGTGAGAGGCTGAGCACTCCACATTGCCTGCCCGACTTGGGGAAGGAGGTACAGGTCCAGTGCTCCTAGCCAGCAGAGTAGCACGACCTGGACTGGGCACCTGAGTGCAAAATTTAGGTGCATGGTTTTCAGAGTGAGTGTCTCAGTTGGAGAGTGAGTGTTGGTTAGTAGGCCTAGGGTTAAAAAGGTGATAGAGTTAAAGTGAAATCACATGGCCAGGCCAGATGTTATTAGGAGAGACGCCATACTTGCCTTACCCTGGTCCCTCCTGGCCCTAAGAAGCAGGTAAAAAAAAAAAAAAAAAAAAATCACAGTACAATGTGATTTGTGCAATAATAGCAGCAGGAACAAGGTTGTGAAGAACGAAGGTGGAGGAGAAAACTCTGCATGGGGAGGGTGGGGTGGGCCTCCCAGGGGGACCTTAGCAGAGTCTTAGAGGAGCAAAGCTGGCAGATATTCCAGACAGACAGAGAAAGCAGCTTCACAAAAATGTCATGGGTGAAGCTACCCAATGCGGGGTGGATAGGGTGACAGGATGTGGAAGGTACAGATGGGCTTCTGCCAGAGTCCAGAGCCCAAGGAGCCCCCTGACCCCACCCCTGGTTGCTTACACTCCAGCTTAAACTGCACACTCTAGGTTGGGGCTTTTCACATCATAAGAAGCTCCATAAACATTTAATCCAAATATCATTCTATAAAAACATGACTGTCTTTAAAGCTGTAGTTTTTAAAGTCTAAATTTTTAACCCCAGGAGACTGCTGCAGCATTAATTTTTCTGCTACCAAAATAGTTAGCATTTGTGCAGAGATTGGAGTGAAGCTTCTCCTGCCAGTCTCTGGTAGCATTAGACCTTTTCTGATTCAATCCCAGGTGGGCCAGCAAGTGGACAAACAGAGCCTCTCATTTTCTGTAGACAGAAAGGCAAGTTATTTAGCCCTTTTAAAGGGGAAGTTGACAATATCTATCAAAAACTATTAATACATGCCTTCAATCCAGCAAATTTACTTCTTGGAATACAGGCAACAGAAGTGCCCACATATATGCACAAAAATGGACGTAAAGAATGTCTATCGCAGAATTGCAACAGAAAAACATTTGAAACAACTCAAATATCCACCAATAAGGGGTAGGATAAATTAGAGACATATAATGGAATACTGTTAATATATAGGTGTTTAAAATGAAACAACAAAATTAAAACAAGTATCCTTGCCCAGGCAAAGTGGCTCATGCCTGTAATCCTAGCACTTTGGGAGGCCCAGGCAGGAGGATGATCTGAGGTCAGGAGTTCCAGACCAGCCTGGCCAACATGGCGAAACCCCGTCTCTACTAAAAATACAAAAATTAGCTGGGCATGGTGGCATGTGCCTGTAGTTCCAGCTGCTTGGGAGGCTGAGGCAGGAGAATCGCTTGAACCCAGGAGGCGGAGGTTGCAGTGAGCCAAGATCGCGCCACTGTACTCCAGCCTGGGTGACAGAGAGAGACTCTGTCTAAAAACAAACAAACAAAAACAAGTATCCTTGATCATATTCTCAAAGATAATCTAAATCATGTCAAAACATTTTAAAGTAAGTTGTAGGATCTCATTTCTCTGAAATAAACAATTTATAGGTCGGGCGTGGTGGTTCACGTCTGTAATTCCAGCGTTTTGGAAAGCCAAGGCGGGTGGATCACCTAAGGTCAGGAGTTCAAGACCGGCCTGACCAATATGGTGAAACCCCATCTCTACTAAAAATACAAAAATTAGCTGGGCGTGGTGGCATGTGCCTGTGGTCCCAGCTACTTTGGGAAGCTGAGACAGGAGAATTGCTTGAACCTGGGAGGTGGAGGTTGCAGTGAGCCGAGATTGTGCCACTGAACTCCAGTCTAGGCAACAGAGCAAGACTCCGTCTCAAAAATAAATAAATAAATAATTTATATAAAGAAACATTTATGTACTCATCTGTAAATACTCAGGTATTGAAGGAAAAAAAAATTAAACTAGAATTTTATGTAGAGCCGAAGGTATGTCATTTAAAGGTATTGGCATGATAAAAAAATACTCTTAGGCACACAAGGTCTCATGAAGTTTTGCCCCACAGAGATCCATTTTATAAATGCCTTTAGAGGACAACAACAACAAAAACAAAAACATGCTTAGAAGATGCTGTGAAAGAGATGAGGGCTAAAGGAGGTCAAGTGCCAATTTTCTTTTGGTTGGTATTTGCCAGATGTCTTTTTCCAGGCTCTTTTGCTTTATAGCAATAGACCCAAGAGTAAAGGCATCATTTTAGACAGGAATGGTCACCATAAAATGACAAAAAGTTCAGTTCACCAAGAAGATGGAGCAGTTCTAAACATACTATACACCCAACCAGTCGGCCTCCAAAATAGCTGAAGCAACCATCTGTAAGACTCTCCCCAGGGCCTGAAAGCTTAAGGAGATGAATAACTCCTCCCTTCTCAAGCCTAGTCCCAAGGCGTAAGGTCACTTACGTCAGCAGCGTGCACCAGCAAAATAGCAGAAGCAGGAGGAGAGCCGGCTGGAATACACCTACCCTGGCCGGAAGACATGAAGATGAGAAAGAGGCCATCCGGGTACAGCGTAGCAGTTACGCCAGACTAGGACACTTCCTGTTTACAGGAGACTATAAAACCTTTGCCCCGTCCTCACTTGGGGCTGACGCCATTTTAGGCCTCAGCCGGCCTGCACCAAGGCGTTCATTGAAACAGCATGTTGCTCCACACCGCCTCGTGTTGTCTGTTGGTGCGCTCTCGGGGTTCCAACCCATACAAGAAACTTACACCATCGACAGAATACCAGGAGAAGTTGAAATCATAATGGTGGGCTAGTTCAAGTAAGCAGATGAAAACAAAACAAAGCAAGGTCTATCAAGATGTGAAGTACTACTTGTCTCCTCCCCTCATATTGGGCTGGAACCATGTGACTTGGTTTGGCCAATAAAATGCTAGCAGGTGGGAGACACTCAAAGACTTGAGGAGTGTTTGTGGGGCTAGGCTTGCCCTCCTGTGTGTCCGTGTTTCTAGAACAAGAAGGGGTCTAGGATAGCCCACTGGTCCAGGAGGAAAAGGAGCAGCATGAAGCAGAGCTGAGCTGTTGCAGAACCCAGCCTAGACCAGCGCCCAGCACCTCCAGGAGAACCTCAGGTTCCTGTGTGCAGCCATGAGCTTGGGGGCTTGTTTGGGTTTGTTGCACCGCATTTTTGTGGCAATAGCTAATTGATACACCTTTACATTCAGAGATTGATTCAACAGATCAGAGAAAATGTATTTTTTGGCCGGGTG
This sequence comes from Homo sapiens, assembly GCF_000001405.40. Classification (NCBI taxonomy): domain Eukaryota; kingdom Metazoa; phylum Chordata; class Mammalia; order Primates; family Hominidae; genus Homo; species Homo sapiens. Next base: position 128,992,289 of record NC_000003.12, read on the forward strand.
CGGTGGCTCATGCCTGTAATCCCAGCACTTTGGGAGGCTGAGGCAGGAGGATGACCTGAGGTCAGGGGTTCGAGACCATTCTGGCCAACATGGTGAAACCCAGTCTCTACTAAAAATACAAAAATTAGATGGGTGTGGTGGCGTGCACCTGTAATCCCAGCTACTTGGGAGGCTGAGGCACGAGAATTGCTTGAACCCGGAAGGCTGAGGTTGCAGTGAGCTGAGATCGCACCACTGCACTCCAGCCTGGTGACAGAGCAAGACTCCATCTCAATAAAAAAAGAATTATTATTTTTTTTTTTTTTGACAGAGTTTTGCTCTTGTTGCCCAGGCTGGAGTGCAATGGCGTGATCTCTGCTCACCACAACCTCCACCTCCGGGGTTCAAGAGACTCTCCTGCCTCAGACTCCCGGAAAATGTATTTTAAACAAGGTATTAGGTGATGCACAAGCGCTTATGAGAATCAATGCCTTAACCTCTCCATGGTTTTTTTTTCTTCTGTAAAAAGCAGACAGAACATCACCTGCTTTAGGGTTGTTGAGAGGATTAAGTATGTGAAGCTGATGCAGCCACAGTTGGGCCTCTCCTAAAATTGCTGTTTCTTTTCAACCTCTGCTCCTGGCTGGCACTGGCCAGCCCGCTTTGGGGTGGGGCAGGTGGAGAGAGGATGTGGGGTGTATGCGCCCTAAACTCCTGCAGAAAGTCATGCACCTCCTTTTTTCAGAGGGTGTTAAACTTCTGCTCTAGCACCTACCCATATTCACAGGGAAGGCCAGTGAGATGGTGAATTTGCAGGGGACCACGTGGGGCACGTCGGAGCTGAAAGTGCTGGCAGGCTCAGATGAGGACTCGATGCTGCTGCACGGGCGGTCAGAGTCAGACTCCTGGGCCCTGGCCTTGGCCTTCAGGTGTTCCTCCACGTCACACTCGCTCGTGGACTGGTAAAAGCTAGTGATGGAGGAGATGGGCTCTATGCTTGCGGGGTCCTCTTCCCACTCCCAGGCATGTAGCGACATGCTGCAGAGCGCACTGCTGGCCGCCGGCGCTCCTGGCAGGGAGAAAGTGAAGGCTGTCCCCGCCTGTATTCCAGGGCTGCTCCAGGAGGTAAGCCCGGCCTCCTGCAGAAGCACCCACCCTTCTCTTCCCTGCTTCCCCCGCCTGCTCCTAGATGAACGCCGGGGCTCCTTCACTGCCTGCCACACAGTCGGTACTCAATCGACTTAGAGAATGAATGGATGAAGGAACAACAGATAAGGGTGGCTGGCAGTAAGCACGACGACGAGCAACCCCGTTTCCTTCGCCTAACCAGGAGTCAGTCGCCGGGCTTCTGGAATGCCTGCCCCAGGTGAGCAGCTCCCGGGAGCCACCAGGCGGGAGAGGGGACGTCTGCTCAGGCAGGCCTGCTGCGCCTAAGCACAAGATGCGTTTGCTATTTGGGGAGAGGCAAACCAGGCCGGGGGCAGCACGTGCAGGAGCCTGGCGAGGTCGGGGAGGGCAAGCCCTGTCCCCAAGACAGAACATGAATGTGCACTGGGTGCTGGGCTCGGGGCATCAGCTCAGGCCCATGGAGGCGGAACGCCGGGCAAACGCCGAAGAGGGAACACGCATCGAGGCGAGGCGGGAAGAGTCCCGGGCTGCGGCGGCCGAGGTGGGGGCAGGGGTCGGGGTTCCCCTCCAGGTGCTGGCGGTACCTGCGAGCGGATGCGCTGGGCGGCAGCGGGGAGTTGGACCGCGGCGGCAACTCCCGTACCGGATCCACAGCCACCTGGGCGAAGAGACTCCAAGACTGAGAGGAGCGTCCGCCGGTGCAGGGAGGGCCGCAGGCCCAGCCACTCAGCTACGTTTGGCGGTTGCTAGGAGACGCGAGGGCGTGCGGCCTGGGGGCGGGGCTCCGCGGGGCGGGGCTTTCCCCCTCAGCCACTGCGCGCAGTTTGTCAAATGGCTACATCCAGGTTCAGAAACCAGCTGCCTTCATTCCTTCACTCATGCATTCACTCATTAAGGAGTTTCTACTCGGAACGTCAGCACCTACTATAAGCCTGGTCCTTGCCCGTACGATGGGAGGTAGGGGTTGATGGCTCCTTCCTCCCCCTCCATCAGCTCCCACCTCCCATTCTTTAATAAAAGCAAAGGAAGCTGTGGGCTCTGCAAACTCCAGACCTCCCCACGATCCCTCTCATTAGATTCTCTGCTTCTGTCGCCGATGTCCTTAAAAACCAGACCTCCCCACGATCCCTCTCATTAGATTCTCTGCTTCTGTCGCTGATGTCCTTAAAATAGCATGAGAATTCTTGTTAGTGATCATGAGCGCCAACTCAGAGATCAGAAAACAAAGCTTAGAGAGGTGAAGCGATTCGCCCGAGGTCACACAGCAAGTAGGGCGCAGCACTGTGTTGAAATCCGGACTGCCTGACTCCAAAGCCTCCGCTCGTCTGCTAAACCACCCAAGCTGAGAGCCCTGGCTGCGGCTCCTAATGTAGAGGACCTCAGCACAGCAAGCGGCTGGGACAGAGGGCTGGGGTAGGCCTCATGGAGGAAGTGAGCAACGCCAAATCTGGGGGGTGACTAGGCAGAGGCGGTGAAAGCAAGAGAAAGCATCCCAGGTAGAGGAACAGCATATGCAAAGGCCCATAGAGGTGAAAGGGCATGGCAAGTTTCAGGAATGGGTGGCGAGGCTGTAGCAGTGTGCAGGGCCCATGGTACATAGCCCCACAGGGCAGGTTAGGGCACAGGACTATGGGCAATGGGGAGCCAAGGCAGGTCTTCTGTTGAGGGAGGGCACCCTGCTCCGGCAGTCAGTTTGTTCAAGAGAATGGGAGCTGAGGCTACACACAAGCTTGGCTATTAAGAAAACTTTAGCTGAGTTGAGCTATGACCTACTTTGTGTCAAAGAGCAAAACTGTGGCGCAGCTGGGGCTGAGACCCAAGTCCTGAGCCTCCCAGTGCATGCCTCCCCAGACCGCTCTCAGGGCATGGGACAGCCCCTTTAATACTGGGTGCTCCAATACTCCTCGGGTTCAGTCTGAAAAACAGCCTCAAGTACAGCTGTTAGGGAAGACACCAAATGGCAGTGGGCCCTGTGAGGAGTGGGTTCAAACTCTTAGCACGAGAACGGCAACCACCTTGCCCACACCCCACCTGCAGCAGCCTGGAGACTGCTGTCTGTATGCCAGGAAGTGCTCAGGAGACACATGAAGGGCTGGAAGAATACAAAGCTACTCAGATACACCAGCCCCCAAAAGGGCCCTTTAACAAGGGCAGTTCAACACTACCACCACTCTTGGACAGACATCAGGCCTCCTGCTCCCCAGGTCCTACCCACTGGCCTGAGGCTGGTTTCCCTCCAAAGGTTCCTAGATCACATCACCACCTAGGACAGAAGCCAATCTCTTCCCAAGCTCAATAGTGAGAGGCCAGAGGTCTTGGACCAAGGGCCAATGTGCCATCCTGGATGTGCACTGGAAACACCTACATGTCAAAAATACAATTCTGAGGCTTCATTAAAGACCTGTGGAAGTGACTCTCCAGGGGTGGAGCTTAGAAACCAGTGGCAGATTGTATTTTCCAAAGACAGCCACCTCAAAAGATCCCCTCCCACATAATCTTCCGGCAGGCATTGTGAGGTTCACATTCCTCCCACCCAGTTGGGGGGTCTAGTCTCCTTCTCTGGAAACTGGGCAGACCTCTGTGACTGGCTCAGTCAAAAGAGTGCAGAGGAAATGACACTATGTGATTTCTGAGGCCAGGTCATATAAATTCCATCTACCTCTGCCCTGTTCTTTTGAGGTATAGTATTCATGCTAGGAATCCAGCTAGCATGTTGTGAGGAAGCCCAAGCAGCCATGTGAAATGGCCACATGAAACTGTTGTGACTGACGGTTCCCAGCCAATTGCAGCCTCAACCCCCAGACATATGAGAGTGCAAGACTTCAAATGATCCCAGCCCTCAGTCTTTGAGCCACCCTGGCTGACATTGAGGAACAGAAACAAGCTGTCTCCATCATGAGAAATTGTAGATTTATAAGCAAATTGTTGCTCTCTTAAACCACTAAGTTTTGGGGTGATTTGTTGTGCAATAAATAATAGGAACGGGAGCCATATTTTTAAATTACCACCAAGATTGTATTGCACAACCAGAATATGGAACCACTGCCCTGAGAGAGATGGTGTCTGGGTCAAGACCTAGGGCATCACAGGATGAAGTGAGGGCAAAGGTGTGCTACCCACTACTCAGGTATGAGACAGTGGTGGGTCTACAACCCTACCTCAGTGAAGATGGCTTCAGGGCTGGCAGATCAGAAGCAAAGGAAGGGGGGCTTCTGTTTCAGTTATCTGTTACTGAGTAAAAACCATCCCCAAACTTAATGGTGTCAAACAAACACTTGTTATTTCTCACCACTCCATGCATCAGCTGAGTAGTTCTCTGCTGGCCTCGCCTGGGCTCACTCCCTATGCTGTGCTCAGCTGGAGGACCAACATGGCTGGAAGCTGCCAGAAGTCCTCACTTGCATGTCTGGCAGTTGCTGCTGGCTCTTCGTGGGCCCGCTGGTTCCCCTCCATGGGTTCCCCCGCCCCCAGTGGTACACCAGCTTCCTTCTATGTGGTGCCTCATCTCCTCATAGCCCGGCCTGGCTTCCTCAGATGGCATTCTCAGAGCAGGGATCCCAGAGGGCAAAGAAGAAGTTGCAAGGCCTCTTGGGACCTAGGCGTGGAACCAGCACCATGTCACTCTGCTACATGCCATTAACCAAAGCAAGTCATGAGGCTGGCCCCACTTCAAGGGGATGAAGACATGGACTGTACATCTGGTAAGCAGAGGGACAAGCATCCAGGGGCAGGAGGTGTTCAAGGTCACTGAACAATCCATCCCTTCATCCTTACTCTGCCGGGTGGAGGGTTCCCAAGCTCCCACAGGCTATGTAGAGGCCTTCCTGAAGCTATCCCAAGACTCTGGCAGCTGGAAGCATATTGGGAATCAGCTACATACACCTTCTTCTTGCCCCTTCCCCATTTTTAACAGCTTTATTGAAGTATTTTTTATTTAATAAAATCCATCCATTTCAAGCGTAGAATTCAATGATTTTCAGTAACTTTACCTAGTGCTGTAATCATCATCATAAATTCATTTTAGAACATTTTCATCCCCCTAATAAGACTTCATGCACATTTATAATTAATCTCTGTTCCAACTCCCAGTCCTAGGCAACCATATCTACTTTGTTTCTAAAAATTGGCCTTTTCTAGACATTTCCTATAAATTGAGTCAGACACTGTGTTCTGGCTTTGTGACTGGTTTCTTTCACCTACCGTTATGTTTCCAAGGTTTATTTATGTTGAGGCATGTGTCAGTATTTCATTCCTTTTCATGACTGAATAATATTCTATTGTATGGACAGACCACAGTTTGCCTATCCATTCATCAGTTAATGGGCATTTGGCTTGGGCATTTAGACATTTATGAACAACGTTGCTATGAACATTCCCACACAAGTCTTTGTGTGGATGTGTTTTCATCTCTCTTGGGTCGATATCTAGGAGTGGAAGAGTTGGGTCGTATGGTCATTTTGTGATTAACTTCTTGAGAAACTGCCAAACTATCTTCCACAGGGGCTGCATCATTTTGTGTTCCCATCAACAACATGAAGTTTCCTGTTTCTCCAAATTCTTGACAAGATTTATTGCCTGTTTTATTCACTACAGCTATTCTCATGAGTATAATATAGTATTTCATCATAGTTTTCATGTGCATTTCCCTAACAAGAATACTGAGATTGTTTTATGCACATGTTGGCTATTTATACAACTTCTTTGGTGAAATGTCTGTTTGTATCTTCACCCACTTTTTGATTGGATTGTTTGTCTTCTTGTTACTGAGTTGTTAAGAGTTCATTGTAAATTCGGAATATAAGTCCTTTACTGGGCATATGTTTTACAAATATTTTCTCCTAGTCTCTTGTTCGTCATATTTTCTTAATAGTGTCTTTTGAAGTGCAAATGTTTTGAACTTTGATGAAGGTCCGATTCATCATTTTTTTCTTTTTTGGATCATGCATTTGGTGTCGTATCTAAGAAATCTTTGACTAACAACAGGCCTATTTTTAATAGAAGTAAAGCTTGGTGTCTGAACACTAAGCAAATCTACTAACCAAGACCCCTAAAAACCCAAAAGCTTTATGACACTGAAAATAATGGCCCAAGGACATTCCCAGACAGTTCTGGGCTCTGGATAGAACAACACAAGTTTCCAAAAAACAGGCTGATAATACCACAAGCTTATAAAATATGTATACTCCTTGGCCCAGTAATAAATCACTCAAGATATGGCACAAACTGTTCACAGTATGGTTTTTGCGGAGAAAAGCTGAAAACCACCTCAGTGGGCATCTGTGGGGGATGACAAAGCACCTTATAGTTCATCCCCAGGGAGCACAGAGCAGCCTCTGGAGCAGTGTCTGCAAAGAAACCACAGCCAAGCTGTTTACAAAGCTCAGTTCCTGTGCAAAGAAAGATCCCAATGGCGCCCTTTCCACTGTGCTTTTCATGTCAAGTTGAATGAGCTACGATTTGCACACTGTAAAATTCAGATGTACACAGTCATGCAACCACTACACCATGAAGATAGAGTATTTCAATCACTCCAAAAAGTTCTTTCATGCCCAAATACATAGAAAAGTCTGGAAATAAATACATCAGAAATACACAGTGATCCTCTCTTGGTGGCAGAATGGTGGATGATTTTTGCTTTTTAGCATTTTCCCGGACCTTTAAAAGACACTTTAAACAATATACTATTTGAAATGGCTCAAACAATACTGAACTGACTTCAGAAAATCATTTCTTTGCCACAGCCCTGACTCTCTCCCACACAGACACACGCCCATCCCCCCAGCTCATACAAAAGAACGCAAGGAGACCTCTGAGTTTGCTCACTTTGAACCTTAAACAAAAACCTTGTGGATGCAACCAGAATTATTTCAGAGGTGCCTGGTAACACCGCAGGGCAGACAGACAGGCCTGACAGCAAACCATTATCAACCCTTACTTCCCTGAGCTGTAGGGGAGTGGAGGCCGGCAACGGCTCCCAGCAAGACATTTAAAAGCTTTCTTTTCAATATTGACTGGCCCAGGAAAGCTACTGTTCAAAGGATTCCTTCACCAGCTGCAGGGATGGGGGGTGGGGAGGGTGTTGCACTCTTGCCTGGGCTACCAGCTCTTAGGGCTGACATGAAATAAAATCAGGTTCTTTTTTTTTTTTTTTTTTTTTTTTTGAGACGGAGTCTCGCTCTGTCGCCCAGGCTGGAGTGCAATGGCAGGATCTCAGCTTACTGCAACCTCCGCCTCCCAGGTTCAAGCGATTCATCTGCCTCAGCCTCCCAAGTAACTGGGATTACAGGCGCCTGCCACCACGCCCAGCTAACTTTTGGTATTTTTAGTAGAGATGGGGGTGGTTCACTATGTTGTCCAGGCTGTTCTCGAACTCTTGACCTCAGGCAATCCACCCGCCTCGGCCTCCCAAAGTGGTGGGATTACAGGCGTGAGCCACCGCGACCGGCCAAGAAAAAGAAACACATGAGAACATCTTAACAAAAGGGAAATACTGCAGTGTCTCCCATCTGCAGAAAGAACCACTGAATCCACTTATGAATCCCTCCATCTTCTTCTGTGCACTCACATACACATGTCCTAGTAGAAAATACTTAGTATTGTTTTGTGTGTTTTTGTTCTTGTTATGTAAGCATCAGTGTTGTGCATAATCAGCTTGTGGCTTGCTGTGTCCGCTCATCCTCGTTTGCTGAGTCCTAGCTGATTTGATGGACACCAGGTTGTCTCCAGTTTCTCACTGTAATAAACAATGATGCAGTGAACATCCTGTGCACAGTGGCTTTCGAAGGTAGAAGCCAAGAAGTGGACGTGATGTAAAAACTTTGTCAAATTGCCATTACTTTTATAATTAAAAACAAACCTAAAAGAATATGTCCAAAATGCTTGGGGAGAAGCCTCTAACTCCTTCCCAGCAGATATGTACTCTGGGCAAAGCCTTCAAGAACAAGTACGAATTTGCCAAATGGACAACGTGCTGATTCTGGGATACTGTGGCAGAGGAGACAGAATGCTATCGCTTTTCAAACGGCAAGATTTTACATTTAAACTCACAGAGTTATCCACAAGGCAAGATTCTGTCTCTGTCATAGCTAGGAACAGCTGAAGAGTCTGCCTCTTGCTCCAACATGGCTGGGTACCGTGGCTGGATAACCGTTCCCGGTGCAGGTAACAGGTGGACAATATCACAATATCACTGCACCCCTCTCGTGAAAAAGAAAGGGAACACAGTCTAGCACTCACCAGAGAAGCAGGTTTTTCTTCATCTTCCAGAAATGTGTTCTAAAACACCAGAAAAAAACATCAGCCAATCATCGACCTGTTAACCTAACCCCAGCTCAAGAGATGGAACTCGGATCCCATTGCCAAGTCAGCACCGGCAGGCACAAAGGTGGCAGGGCCGGGAGACACCACTTTCCCGAGAGTCCTATCCCCACCCCCAACAGGGATCGGGAGAGAGCAGTTAGCACAGGGCTCGTCTCAGATGGGCTTCTCACCAGCGGGGTGCCCCTAACCTAGACCCCTTGCCTCTCCAAGCCTGTTTCCCTCTCTTTCCCAGTTACTACTTGGGGCTCTTTGCACGGTCTATGGTGGCACAAGAAGTGGGTTCGGAAACCCAGTAGCTGAATTGAAGCGGAGGGGAGGCTTTTCCGCACCTACGGCTACAGGGCGGCGAGAGCAGGCTTGCCAGGCAACCCTCGAAAGGCCTTCCGGGAAGAGGGGGAAGAGTGACGCTTGGGTGTGGGGGCACATCCCCAGCAACCGGACGAGGCCGCCACCCCCAAGGCCCTCCTGGGCTTCGGATCCCGCGCCAACCCCTCGCCCAGGTCTCGGAGCGAACTCTCCGCGCCAGGCGGGCGGGGCGGAGGGAGGAGGGAGTTGAGAGTGGACGGCCGGGAGTGGGAGGAAAAGCGCAGACGCCAGGAACGCCCCGTGAGTGAGGAGAGGAGAGCGTGGGAGTCACGCGGAGAAGCCAGACCCAGACGCCGACCGGGCACTGGTGGCGCTGCCGGGGTCCCGGGGGTTCCTGGACCCCCTACCCCAGGCCCCTCCAAAGCAACTGGGGTAAACCAGACGCACTGTGAGGCCAGCGCAGCTGCTGGACACGGTCCCCGGCGCCGCTCCAACCAGACCGCGACCGCTAAGCCCCTCCTTTCGAGAAACTCTGGGGCCGCCCCTGGAAGTGGCGGGGCGAAGGGACCGGAGGAGGGACCGGAGGAGCGAGGCGCGCGGCGCAGCGATGGAGCCGGTCAGCACGGGCGCGGAGGCCGGCATGGAGGGCGCGGGAGGTGACCCGTACCGGCGACCTGCGCGGCGCACGCAGTGGCTGCTGAGCGCCCTGGCGCACCACTACGGGCTGGACCGCGGCGTGGAGAACGAGATCGTGGTGCTGGCCACCGGCCTGGACCAGTACCTGCAGGAGGTCTTCCACCACCTGGACTGCCGCGGCGCCGGCCGTCTGCCCCGCGCCGACTTCCGAGCGCTCTGCGCTGTGCTGGGGCTGCGCGCGGAGGGGGCCACCACGGCCGGGCAGGCAGCAGGTGACGGGAACTCCAGAGATGTGACCCCCGGGGATGCGGCCGCTGAGTTGGCCACGGACGGGGACTCAGATACCGATGAAGAGGCGCGCCTGGCGCTGCGCGCCGAGCCGCCGGAGCTCACCTTCCGCCAGTTCCACGCGCGCCTCTGTGGCTACTTCGGCACCCGTGCGGGGCCCCGGCTGCCCCGCGGCGCTCTCAGCGAGCACATCGAGACGCAGATCCGCCTGCGCCGTCCGCGCCGCCGCCGCCGCCCGCCCTGCGCGCCTGGCCCCGACAGCGGTCCTGACTGTGAGCGCGTTGCGCGGCTGGAGGAGGAGAATAGCAGCTTGCGCGAGTTGGTGGAGGACCTGCGCGCCGCGCTGCAGAGCAGTGATGCGCGCTGCCTAGCACTGCAGGTGCGCGCCGGCCACGAAGGGAGGGTGGTAACGCCCGGGAGAGGGCTCGAACTAAAAGCTGGCTGGCTGCGGAGCCCGACAGGACAGAGTCAGAGGAAGGGGAGACAGAGGGCAGCCCCACACCATCCCACTCCGCATCAGCACACTTGCATCTTGCCCCTGTTCCTCCCCATTCCACTCCAGTCCCCAACCCTATTCTTACCACCTATTCCATTCCTGAAAACCCCAATCACACTCAAACAACCATACCCCACTTTTCTGCTCCACCGCCACATCATCGCGTCTTGCCCCTTTAACCTAGGAATTGCACCTGTCTGGGTAGTCTCACATATTCCCTTTCAACAAGCATCTTTCTCTCTCCTTCCTGCCAGGCTTCTGGGAGGTTTAGGAGACAGAAGTGTGAAGAAGGCCCTGTCCTCACCTTTAGGGATATCCCTGCCTCCTGGGGTAGACTGACAGCTCCTTCTGTCAATCAGCAAAGACTTATGGGGCTCCCTGTGGGAGAAACAGAGACAAGTGAGAAACAGACAATGTGGCTCACACTGTGGATCAGGCACTCACGGGCCACCAAGTGCCTGCGGGAACCAGACCCGCTCTGGGCTATTGAGAAGAAACCATGGGGTGAGATAGGGACCCAGCCTTAGCATCTGGGAGCCGTCGACAAACACTTAAGCACTGTGCCAGCCGAGCACCAAGGGCAGTGCTGGGCCGCAGGGGTCAGAGGAGGAAAGGAACAGCCCCTACCCCAGGCGACAACAGGCCAGGAAGAAACTGACATTATATGACCCCGCCTTAGCTCAGGACACTGCAGAGTGCAGGGAAGTGGCAAGGTGTGGTTTTCAGTGTCAGTGTGCATGGAAGCCAGGGTGGAGGCGGGAAACTACTCCTCTGATGTGGAATCCCAAGTAACGTACTGGGAGCCATGGGATGCGCCTGAACGGTCTTCCGGCATCTCTCATGCTTGGTATTTATTGAGCACCTACTATGTGCCAGGTTTGTTTTAGGCTCTGGGAACACACCAGTAAAGACAGATAGAAACCACCCTCAAAAGCCTCTAGTGAGCAGGCACGGGGAGGGCTGGAAATGCCACTGGGGGGAGTCTAGGAGATGAGGAACCGCCACCCGGCAGGCTGAACGCCGCCAATACAGTAGGCCGAGAAGAGTCGCGAGGTTGGTACTATAGAGGGAACAGAATACAGGCGTCGTGTCTCAGTTTCCTTCAGTGAAAAAACGTTGGGGGGTGGGGGATGAGGAGGAATCAGAGCTTGGGCCTCCCTGGGGATGTGGCGAGGGTTAAAGGAGCTTGGACGCACCGGACCTAAGGGCCTGGCACCCGGAAGCAGACGGCGCAAGAAACGTGCTCAAGCGCTTCTGGGTGCAGAGGCATGGGGCCGCCGTCGTGGCGGGCGTTCGTCTGGTGCATCTGGCTGGGGCACTTACCCCCTGCCCCTGCTGCCCTGTCCCCGCAGGTCGGACTCTGGAAGAGCCAGGCGAGCACCCACGAGATGGGGCACGGCGGGCCGGAGGCTGCGGTGCGGGAGCTGCGTCAGGCGCAGGGCGCCCTGGCTGCGGCGGAGGCCCGCGCTGGGCGGCTGCGCCGTGGCCAGGCCGAGGTGCGGCGGCGCGCGGAGGAGGCCCGGCAGGTGGTGCTGCGCAGCCTGCACCGCGTGCGAGAGCTGGAGGCGCTGGCGCAACAGGTGCCCGGCTTGCAGCGCTGGGTGCGGCGGCTGGAGGCGGAGCTGCAACGCTACAGGTGAGCGGGGGCGCGTGCCCTGGGCCCAAGTTCCCCAATTCGGCTCCCATTTTCCCAAACTTCGGGTGTGCAATCCCCCTCCCACGCGCTCTCGTGTTCCGCAGTTTCTCCATGCGTTTATTCATGTATTCTTTCATTCCTTTGTCAGTTCTCCATTTCTTAAGTTATAAGTCTGCTCCATTGCTTGCTCTGCAACCATCTGCCCACCCATCCATTTATCCATCCATCTGTCCATCCATTCACCCACCCCACACACCCACCCATCCATCCATCCATTTGTCCATTCACTCACCCCCCCCACCCACCCATCCATCCACTCACCCATCCATCCACTCACCCATTCATCCATCCACCTATCCACTCACCTACCCACCCGTCCATCCATCTATTCATCCATCCACTCACTCACCCACCCATCCACTCACCCACCCACCCATCCATCATCCATCCATCCCCCCACCCACCCAGCCAGCCAGCCGTCCATCCATCCTCCTGTTCATCCACAAACACCCTCTATTTGTTTATCATAGATTGCAGTTGAATGTGCTCATTCTTATTTGTTCCTGGATTCGATCATAATGATAATAGCTTACAGTTACTAAGCACTCGCTGTTTGCCAGGCCTTGAGCTAAGTACTTTATGTGGCTTAACTCATTTAAGCCTCACAGCTGCCCTGTGAGGTGGGTACTGCTATGTTTCCACTCTGTAGATGAGGAAACAGGTGTGTAATGACTGCCTGTGCTAGCTCCACCAGGGCAGGAAGCTGGACTTGGGACCCAGGTTCAAATCTTGGCAGGGCTTTTGGCAGACGTGTGAGTGTGGGCAAGTCACCACCCCTCACAGACCCTGCTTCCTCTTGGGTGGAACACAGATTGGGGTCCCTGCCTGTGGGAGTGGCTGTGAAGAGGCCATGAGGTCCTGCCTGGCACATGGTAGATGCTTGGTAGACAGAGCCTCTCTCCCTTTCAAATCACAAGTCACCCCTGCCTGCTGGCCGGCCTGACTACACATTTGCTGAGCACTTTCTGTGTGCCAGGGGCCATCCCAGGCATCAGGGATGTGACCACGTGACTAGGACAGACTGAATTCCCTGCCCTGAGCAGCCACCTGTGAGCAGGTGAGACCTTCACAGGAACAGATGCGTGGCAGCAGGCAGGAGGTGGGGGACACTCATCAGCCTGCCCCCAAAGAAGTGACACTTGAGGATAGGATGTTACCGGGCCAGATGGAGAGAGGAGAAGAGAGAACATTCCATTCTAGAAAATTGGAACAGTACGGGCAAAGCCCTAGGGCAGAAGGGACCATTCAAAAACTAAAAGGAGGCCAGAGTGGCTGGAGGGGTAGAGCTGAAGGGAGGCCCATTTAGGGCCTGGAAGGTGGCAGCAAGGATTTCAGTTTTTCCCTTAAGAGAAAGAACATGAAACCATGGAAAAGTTTTAAGTAAGGAGGTGACAGAAGCAGATTTCAATAAAAAGTTACCCTGGCTACAATGTGACAAAGAGATGGGCAGATGGGGAGAGCAGGAGACAGTGCAGAGCCCAGTGAGGGGCTCCTGCCATCCCTGATCCTGAGAGGAAGGTGGTCTAGCCCAGGCTGGGGGTGGAGCAGCCAGAAGGGGTGGCCTTGAACCTACTGGACATCTGAGAAGCTCACAGCTGGGAGATGGTAAGGCATGGGGCTAGAGGGAGGCCTCCAAAGAGGCAGACTCTGGGCCAGCCTCCTGCAGCATGCAGTGTTTGGAGAGCCACTTCCTGTTTGCATAGCTGATGGCTAAAGAGCAGGGCTGGTTGGCTTGAGGCCCACATCCAGCCTTGGAACTTTATCCAAGAGGAGAAATAAAGGGGCTCTTCTTTGTTTATTTCTAAAATCACAACTAGTCCTCTATAGCAGAATGCTACAAGTGACTACAAACATTGGCATAGCCCTTTACAATAGAAAAAGTGGATTCATAGCCAATGCACCATTTAGTCCCCATAAGGTTGTACAAGGTAGATGTTTTATCCCCAGTTTACAGATTGTGAGAAATGAGGCACTGAGAAGTTAAGTAATGTACCCAAGGCCACACAGCCAGAAAGTAGGAAAGTCAAATCAGCCTGGCCCCACTGCCTGTGTGCTTCGATTCACAGTTACACGATGGCTGCTGTGCCTCCAGACCTTGCATCTGCTGATCGGGCATAAGAAGAAACCTGCGAGGCTAGTCCTGTTAGTCAGTCCCAAACAAAACTGGAGTTCTGTTTTTTGTTCGTTTGTTTGTTTTTTGAGACAGTCTTGCTCTGTCACCCAGGCTGGAGTGCAATGGTGCGATCTTGGCTCACTGCAATCTCTGCCTCCCAGGTTCAAAAGATTCTCCTGCCTCAGCCTCCCCATAGCTGGGATTAAAGATGCATGCCACCATGCCCAGGTAATTTTTGTATTTTTAGTAGAGATGGGGTTTCACCATATTGGCCAGTCTGGTCTCAAACACCTGACCTCAGGTGATCTGCTTGCCTTGGCCTCCCAAAGTGCTGGGATTACAGGTGTGAGCCACTGTGCCCGGCCAAAAGTGGGGTTCTGTTAGTAAGGAAGAAGTAGGAGCAGCTATTGCAGAGGCTTTGAAGAAAACACCTAGTGATGAGGAAATTGAGGACCAGAGAATGAGTGATGCTATGTGAAGGGCACACGGTGATTAGGCAGATGGCTGTGTCACTAATTTCTCTGCCCCTCTAGAAACATGCCTTCAACCCTACCTTGCCCGGGGGGCTGACCTCCTCTGCCCATTTTCTGTGGTCAAAGTTTGCTGGTTTGTGGACTGACCTGCCCCAAAGCTCTCACTCTGAAAAGAAGGAAAAGGAGAGGAGACAGAATAGCCATGGGCATTTATTGAGCATCAACTGCATACCAGGCACTTTTTCATGTAAGCTCATGGGGCCTCTAGTCTAAAAGAAAAGTGTTACTGTCAGCATTTCACAGACAAGAAAACCAAGACCAGAGAGGAAGCAGCTGTCCAGTGTGGCACAGCGACTTAGTGGCAAGGGCAGGACTCACAGCCCAGCCTGATGGCCCCAACCACAAGCTCAAGTTGGGTTTGGTAGTATGCACAAATCCTTCTGGATTCTCCTACCCCAGAAACATCGGCCGGACATTTTACTGGCTGGGGAGGGACTGTAGGCTACAATTCACCTCTGCTTTTGCTTTTCAAGTGCCAGAAGCTCAGATGTCCGTGACTATTGAGCTGAATCAGCCCCGTCCTCTGCAGTTGGCCTAGAGGGCTGCATTCTAGAGGAATTACCGGGAGGAAAGGGCCCCATGCCCCAAACAGTAGAGCCCCATCACACCCTCTTAAGTGACATCACTCTGGAATGTCTCTAGGTGCTCTGCAGATGTGTCTTTGGGGAGAAAACAGAGCAATGACTGAACTCCCCCTGAGAATGACAGCTTGAAGCCATTTGGTTAGAATAAATGACCCAACAAACACCTTTCCAGCATCTCCCAGTGTTCAAAGCACTTTCACAGATACTGACTCACGCTGATCTTCTCATCTTCCCTCTAAGGTTGGTATTATGTCGGATGTTTCAAATAAGGAAATAGACCCTTGGGGTTGGGAGTGGTTTTACTAAAGTCACATACCCAAACTCAGCTGAATTTAGACTGCGTTGAATTTCCTAACTTTGAGTCAAACTGTGCTGCCACTTTCCTAAAATGGGATCTTGATGACTCTATTGTTCATGTTAGGGCTTCTATTGAGTTCTTTTTCAGACCTGTACTTTCTTTTTCATCCTTATCAGTCCTTGTGTTGTAGGTTCTGTCTAATCCTTTATCTCTGTAGCATTCAACCATACTAATTTTAAAGTCTCTTGTGGATTGCTGTAATATCTGAGCTTCCTGAGATGTTTTACACCTGCTGTCTTTGTCATGATGAGGCATTCTTGGCAGGCACTGTCATTTTGGGCTGTGAGCCGTCTTTGGCAGGGCCATGATCCTTGAGAGTCACACATAGAACTGGCTGTAGAGTTCCCTTCAGAGCAGTTTTCCATCTGCCTCCACCAGGCCCTGATTCTAGACCAGTTTTTAATTTTGATACTTAGCGTGGAGTTTCCTAGCTGCACAGGTAGTGAGAGATTGAGTCCCATACCTGGGAACAAAACCCCAAGACCAATAGGTGGAATATTTTTCATTTTTGTTCATGGATAAGACAGCCCTTGCTGGCCCCTGGCCTCATGCAGGGAGTCTCCTTCTGTAACTCACTATGCAAGGTCTCCTGTCCCTAATCCCTCCATGGGCGTTTCAGCTCCATCTCCTGCTTTCCACACAAGTTGGAGGTCTCCTCTTCTTGATTTTGACTTTGGCTCTATATTCTTTTAAATAGTTCTATTTTATCCAGCATTTCAACATATTTGTAGATGGAAGAGGGGCTTCTCATAGCACCCCAAACCACCATCTTGACCAGCAGCCTAACAGGATGGACAATAAATATGTAAGCAATTGGAGACATTTATTTAATTCATTCAACAGTATTTTCTAAGCACGTTCTGTGGACCAATCCCCGTG